>NC_000017.11:7460807-7612323 GCF_000001405.40 Homo sapiens
AAGTTGGTGGGGATACCCCAAAGCCCACCAGAAGAGTAGAATGGTTCCCCCAAAACCATCTGGAGTGATTGGTGAGGGGAGTGACACTGGGGAGATGGGAATACAGGTAAGGATGGAAGGTCATGTGCAAATCCTGGGCTTACCCACCCATCCGACCCCTATCATTTTTCTGGCTATTTGGTCTAGTCTGGGAGAAACCATCAGGAAAAAAAAACAGGGAGAAAGTAGATTCCCTTCTCCATCCCATATGGAGTTCTTCCCTCCTGGCCCCCAAATCTGGTCTAGCCCAGAATAGGCCATATGTAGAGGCAGAAAGAGGTGTGATCTGCTTACCTCTTTTGCCTTGGAAGAATCTGGAGCTCACTGGATTTGGGGGTCAAGATAGGGCCAATATTTCCCTGCCCTGGACTGGGAAAGTGCTCAGCCACAGAACAGAGGGGCAGAGGGGCAACCCTCCCCCAAACCTCCTTGACCTGGCTTGGGAGAGGCCATCTCCGAAGTCCAGGAATATGGGGAGGAACATGGAAGATCCAAAGGCATGGAAGCTGAGGAAGGTGTCTTGATACAAGGGAAACAGGGACGTAGAGACCCACGCTGGGGAAGGATGAAACCCAAAGCCACACTCCCAGGTGGGCGGGGTCAGGTATCACAATGGTCTGGTCCAGGCCCTGGGCCACAAAGAATGGAATGTGCTAGGAAGCAACTGGGAAGGGCTTAGAGAAAGCTTCAGAACAAGGCGGGTCATTAGGTGAGAGAGATGGTTTCCCCTAGGTTTACGAATCAGGGGAGCAGGTTAGACATTCAGAGCTGGTGGGGGCTGTGAGTAGAGATTCAGGTTAAGTATATTGCTCAGTTGCCCCAAGGGCTGGAGAAGGGATGGAAGCTGGCCCTGCCCCTCATGGAGGCCATTCCCTGGAGGAAGACTGAGAGGGGAACCTCGAAAGATCCCTTCCCAGGAGATGGGAAAACTACATCTCACACAAAGCAGCCTGACCCCTGAGCTCCAGGGGCCCCCAAGTCCCTGCACAAGAGTGTGAAGGGGCTCCCAAGGGGCAGGGAGGCCAGGGAGCTGGTAGTGGTGGGGGGTTCAGGGAGGGTGGCATCTGGTGAAAGGGGGATTGAGCCCCAGGGTTCACCCCACATCGCCCTTCTGGGTTCTCTCAACCCCTGCCCTTTCCCCTTCTCCCTTAGGGGGAATTGGTGGAGGAAGAGTTGGGGGAGGTGGTGTTGGTGGGGCAGGGGGTGCTGCTTGAGGATTCACTGCGTAGCCAAAGACCCCTGGTAGGAAGGGAAGGGCCCCCGCACCCTTCTCATCAGGTAGGACCATGTTGAGAGCAACCGGGAGAGCGGCCAAGTTACTGAAGTTGTAAGGGTAGGCGGCAAGGAGCTGGGGGCCATAGACGAGCGGGTAGGGCTCAGGGTAGAAAGTGACTTTGGCAGCCCCTATCCCCTCCATCCGGTCCCCCTCACCAGCCCCCACTGGCCCTTCACTCCCAGATTTTCCCCTGCCACCGCCAGGTTCCCGGCCGCCCCCAATCAAGGCCAGTGGAAATTCCTGCACAGGTGGGTATACATAGCTGCCCCCGCTTGCCACTACTGGGGGCTCCTCACCCCCTGAAATGATAGGGTCCTGGAGTGAGGCGGTCTCGGAAGCTTCCTCAGCAGCAGTGCTCCCGCCACCTGCCTCACCGCTGGATGAGGAGACTTGCATCTCTTGGGGGGCTTCCTCCTTGACATCCCCGGGCCTGGTGCCAGCGCTGCCCTTGGAATAGGCAATGACAGGGGTTGGGGTGCCCCCGGGCCGCTCAGCAGCATGCCTCTGCCCGTGGCGGCTCAGGGCAGCTGCGGTCTTGCACACCTTGGCGCAGTGGGGGCAGGTAAAGCGGGTGGAGGGCCTCCGTCCGGCCCGGGAGCTGTGGGAGCCCCCACCGTGGGCCTCTTGGTGCTTCCGCAGCTTTCTCAGGGTGGTGAAGGTCTGGGCACAGTCCCCGCATCGGTGCCTCCGCTCTGTGCGGGCACGTCCCGCTGGGCTCTCGGCCGCTGGGGTTTCCTCCCAGCTCCTCCGTTCCAGCTTCTGCCTCCAACGTGGTGGCCGGCGGCCTCGGGGCAGCCCACTGCCCCCCACACTGGCACCTCCAGCAGCTCCAGCCTTGCGCTTAGGCTTGTAGGAGTAGTAGGGCCTCCAGAGCTGGTCCTCCCCACCAGCCTTTGATTCCTCCTCATCCTCCTCCTCCTCCTCTTCGTCCTCCTCCTCTTCGTCCTCCTCACTCTCCTCCATCTCCTCTCCGCTCAGCTCCCCAGGACGCAGGTCAGTCTCTGAGATGCGGCGCTTGACGATGGCCTCCTCCCCTATTCGCACAGTGATCTGACACAGTGGAGGTGGAGCCTGCAGCTGAGAGGGGCCCCGGCCAGCCCCTGTGGGGGGACCCCCACCTCCACCAATCCCGCCCACTGGCTTGGCTGTGTAAGTCAGAGTCCTTCCAGCCCGTGGATTCCGGCCCTTGGCCTCCTCCGTGGTGGTGGCCATGGCTGGCCCTGCAGCGGTGGCTGGGCTGACTGCTGTGGCTGGGCTGGTGGGTGTGGCTGCAGGCTCAGGGGGAGGAGGTGGGTATTCTCGTTTCTTGGGTGGCCTCGGGGGAGCAGTGTAAGTGATAACCGAGGCAGCTTGGGACCCTCCTGTGCTGGCCGTCCCACTCCCCCCTCCACCACTGCTACTGCCCCCATGGACAATGACAGAGGGGGCTGGGTGGGCAAAAGTGATGACAGAGGGTGGAGGGCCAGGCTCTGGGGCAGGTGGAGGCCCAGGCGGCGGGCTGGCTGGCATTGCCACAGGGGCCGGTGTGTTGAGGGTTGGAGAAAGGGGAGCCTCCGGGGCTCCCTGGCTGTAGGTCTTGTAGGGCCGCTTGGCTGCCCGCATGGGGAGCAGGCGGTAGAGCTTGAGTGTATTGAGCTTGGGCTTGTAGCCTCCATTGGGTGTCTTCTCACTGGCAAGGAGGCCCGGGCTAATGCCGTGGAAGGCTCGCTGGTGGGTCTTCAGGTTATAGTAAGTGACAAAGGTCTCCCAACAGAAGATGCACTGGTACCTGGGTCAGGACAGCAGGGAATAGGGCAGGAACACAGGCACTTGAGTCAAGGGCCCTGAAGCCTCCCAGGTCCTCCTACACCCTGCACTCAAACCTGTGACTCCCGTAGCCTTGTGCTGCCTCCCTCACCAGGCCAGCCTCAGTGCAGGGTGCCCGTCTGAGCTCAGTGCCTCCACTGGCTGTGAGACTCTAGGCCTCAGCTATTCCATCTGGGACGCAGCCTAACTCACGGAGCCTTCTTCTCAAGCCCAAATGGCAGAATGGGGAAACGACTTACGAACAGGGACACCACGTGGAAACACAAGGCCCTGCTCGGAATAGTGTAATGACTCCCGGACATGCCTGTGCTGCCACAGTCCTTTCTGGTGAGGGGAGTTTTCTCTTTCCTTCTAGGCCTTCCCCACAGCAGCAAGCCAGGACATGGCACAAAGAGGCCCTAACAAACCTCAGCTGATGAACCCTGGAGGTGAGGTTGCAGTGAGCCAAGATTGCACCACTGCACTCCCGCCTGGGCGACAGAGTGAGACTCTGTCAAAAAAAGAAAAAAAAAAAAAAAAAAAAACCTCAGCTGAAGGAACTGGGGCTGGAGGGAGGCAGACCGGTGAGTGGTGGTGAGCAGGGGCCTCAGGATGGCTTTTTTTTTAAATTCTCAAATTGCTTGTAGAGGCTGAGCGCAGTGGCTCATCCCTGTACTCCCAGCACTTTGGGAGGCTGAGGTTGGCGAATCACCTGAGGTCAGGAGTTCAAGAACAGCTTGGCCAACATGGTGAAACCCTGTCTCTACTAAAAATACAAAAATTAGCTGGGCGTGGTGGCGCGCACCTGTAATCCCAGATACTCGGGAAGCTGAGGCAGGAGAATCGCTTGAACCCAGGAGGTAGAGGTTGCACTGAGCTGAGATTGCGCCACTGCACTCCAGCCTGGGGGACAGAGCGAGACTCGGTCTTAAAAAAAAAAAATGCCGTCTTAAAAAAAAAAAAATGCCGCCGGGCGCGGTGGCTCATGCCTGTAATCTCAGCACTTTGGGAGGCCAAGGCGGGTGGATCACAAGGTCAGGAAATCGAGACCATACTGGCTAACACGGTGAAACCCCGTCTCTACTAAAAATACAAAAAATTAGCCGGGCGTGATGGCGGGCGCCTGTAGTCCCAGCTACTCGGGAGGCTGAGGCAGGAGAATGGCGTGAACCTGGGAAGTGGAGCTTGCAGTGAGCCGAGATCACGCCACTGCACTCCAGCCTGGGCAACAGGGCGAGACTCTGTCTCAAAAAAAAAAAATAAAAAAAATGCCAGGTGTGGTGGCTCACGCCTGTAATCCCAGCACTTTGGGAGGCCAAGGCGGGCAGATCACGAGGTCAGGAGTTCAAGACCATCCTGACCAACATGATGAAACCCTGACTCTACTAAAAATACAAAAAAAAATTAGCTGGGCATGGTGGCGCATGCCTGTAATCCCAGCTATTCGGGAGGCTGAGGCAGAATTGCTTGAACTGGGACCTGGGAGGCGGAGGTGGCAGTGAGCCGAGAAGGCACCACTGCACTCCAGCCTGGGCTACAGAGAGAGGCTCTGTCTCAAAAAAAAAAAAAAAAAGAAAAAAAAATTGTTTGTAGAGATGGGGTCTCTATGTTGTCCAGGCTCGTCCCAGACTCCTGGCCACAAGCGATCCTCCCACCTCAGCTAACCACAGTGCTGGGATTACTGCAGCTAGCCTAGTTTCAGGATAACTTTCTAGGCCCCAAGCCCCACCCACTGCCGCCCTTGTTCCTATGACCGCTGAGTGCCAGCCTCCAGCCGCTCCCCCGCCAGCCTGGATCACTCACCTGCGCTCCCCCGTGTGCCACACTTCATGCTTCGTGCGGTACTCCGCCAGAGCAAACACTTTCTCACAATAGCGGCAGGGGTACTTCCTCCGCCACGAGTGTACATTGCTGTGTCTCTTCAGACTGGACAGGGTCACGTAGGAACGCTCGCAGGCCGCGCACACATACAGCACGTGGCCGCCCACCACCTTCACCACGTGCTCGGGGCCCCCTCGGAAGCCCACTGGTGGAGGCAGGGCTGAGGCGTCCACCCCTGCAGGACCACCAGGGCCAGCGCCCCCAGCTCCCAGCCCTGTAGACCCCCGCGTGCTGGCCCCTCGTCGGCACTGGGCCTCATGGGTCTGCAGCCGTTTGGGATGGATGAAGCTTTTTCCACACTGGGGGCAGGGGAGGGGCCGCCGGGGCAGGGAGCACTGCAAGTCAGGGGCCTGGGCCTCAGCCCTGTCACCCTCCCACTCCCCAGCTGGCCTGGGCCCGGGCCCAAAGCTGTCCTCTTCAGGCTGCGAGGTGGCCATGGGGGCTGGGGTAGGAGGTACCCAGGCATCACCTCCCTCCCCCAGGCCCTGAAGGCGGGAGATGCCCAGACGGCGCCCCAAAGCTCCAATCTCTGCTACAGCTGCCCCGTCCCCTCCACCACCAGGCAGTGCGAGCCGGGCGCTGTAGATGAAGTTGAGGACATCAGAAAACGCAGCTGCTGGGACTCCTGGCAACTCCAGGACCCGGGGTGGGGAAGAAGCAGGGGGAGAGGCTGGAGGGGGAGAGGAAGAGGAAGAGGAAGAAGAAGAAGAAGCAGAGGAGGAAGAAGAGGAAGAAGACGAGGAAGAGGAGGAGGAGGAAGAGGCAGCTGTGGTGGTGGCAGGGTTGGGTGCGGCGCCCCCAGTAGCTGGTGGAAGGGGTAGTGGGGCTGAAGTGAGCAGGGCCTCTCTGAAGAAGGGACTTGAAGCAGCCAGGACGCTGCGGTGAGCAGGGAACTTGGTGTCTCCGGCTATGAGGGTGACGTCACAGAAGAGGCCACGGAGCCGCTGTTCATTGAGCTGGCGCAGGACGGCGGGGGCATGGGACGGGTCCGTCACCTCTGCAGGGGGGGGCATGGTGCCAGCCTAGACAGTGGGAGAAGAGGCCGGGTAGAGTCTCAGAGGCTGGGCAGAGGGCAGGGGCTTCTAAAATCAGGCAGAGAGAGGATCAGGAGCTGCTGGTCAGAAACTAGTGGAAGGCTGAATCACTTCTGGTCACAGAAGTCAGGGGTTGGCCCTTAGCCACCCAAGTCTGGCCAGCATCCAAGACCAGTATGTCTAACTCACTTCTGAGGCTGGAAGAGGCCAGAGATACCTCAGGTCATGGTGAAGGTCAAGGGGTCATGACCTCTGAAGTCACAGACTAGAGATGTAAGTGAGGCAAATCTCTCTCATGGGAAGGAGGAGGAAGCTCCACAACTCCTGATAGCCATTTCACAGAACTCCCCAGCCTAGACAAAATGGCCGCCCCTGCTGGCCTGCTGCCTTGGGTCTACTTTGTCCTCACTGTAGGCCTCTGGGTACCTTCTCACCTGAGAGCACAGCCAACATGGAGTGGGGCGGGGGGTGGCTCAGCGAGTCCCTTCTGCTGGGCCTCTTCCTTCTGCGGAGAAACAGAAATTATGTCAGGGGAACCTAGAGGAGGAGCAGAAGAGGGTCCTCAAGGAGGGAAGTGAGAGGAAAAGCCCCCAGGAAGTGGGGAGGGGTGCAGTACTGTGGCCAGAGAGGACACCTGGGTGAGCCCAGACCCCTCCCCGGAGCCTCTGCCAGGTTATTTGTTTAGCTGTGTCCAGTCAAACCTGGGAGGTCACGCAGATTATTGCAGAGCCTTGTTCTGCGGGCCCAGAGAAGTACAGTGACAAGATAATTTGCATATTCCCAATTCACCTCCAAACAATATAGTAGCACAGGTCCAGTCCATAGGTTCAGGGAAGCCTGTCACAGCACTCTCAAGTCCCTTTGGCCCAATCTCCAGGGCTCAGAGGAAGTCAAAGATTTGCATGTTGTCATTTATCACAATGGTCTCATTTACATATCAAAATAATTTGTGAGTTTTTAAAAATTGGACCTAAGCTGGTAGATATTCAAATTAGGAGAGGACATCCTCACATCCTTCCAGCCCCATAAATCTTAGAAGGGGGTTTCTGGCGCAGCTGCCAGGCAACCATTGAAGACCACTGACCCATACACAACTGCCAGCTTGCTCCAGCCTCTGGAGGGCACTGGAAAGGCCACAAGACCAGGAGGCCTGGTCCCACGCCTTACTCAGAGACCTGATGCCCTAGGGATCTGGACTTAAAAAGCGGCAGAATCACAACTCCTACCTCACCTCTTGCTGGGAGACTCGTCCAGAGGGAAGAGCAAGGCCAGGCGCGGGGGCTCACGCCCGTAATCCCAGCAGTTTGGGAGGCCAAGAGGGGTGGATCACCTGAGGTCAGGAGTTCAAGACCAGCCTGACCAACATGGTGAAACCCACATCTCTACTAAAAATACAAAAAATTAGCCGGGCGTGGTGGCACGTGCCTGTAATCCCAGCTACTTGGGAGGCTGAGGCAGGAGAATCACTTGAACCTGGGAGCTGGAGGTTGCAGTGAGACGAGGTCACGCCACTGCACTCCAGCCTGGGCAACAAGAGCAAAACTCCGTCTCAAAAAAAAACCCCCCAAAAAACAAAGGGAAGAGCAGACAACTGAAACGCAAGCTCAGGCAGTCAGCAGCAGAGAAAGCACCGCGCAGCCACCTTCCCCTGCAGGCACCATCAGGGCCTTGAAGACTCTTTTCAGTTGAAGGTTTGAGTTCAAAAGCCAGACTTATCCAAAGTCACACAGCGCTGGTAATGACAGGCGGCACCTATTTAGAGATCCAGGCCCGCAGACTTGAGAGCAGAGCTCTCCGGACCCTCTCCTCTGCCCTCCACAAAGCCTGGGAGCTGTCACCCATCTTTGAGGGTGTCCTTCCGTATGCCGTGGGCCACGTGTCTTCAGAGGTGTCCGGCATCAGGAGTTCCTCATACAATTCCCATCCCCTGAAAAATCTTCTTTCCCATTTATCACTCATACTGTCTGGACTCAAAGGCCTTTTCCCCACATATACCCCATTTCACATCCCCCAAAATATTTTCCTGACACCTCTCCTGGATGGGAAGAAGGAAGATGGTAAACAGGGATGATATTCCAAAGTTTTAACAACCCTGTCTGCCAGGGACTGATGAGGTTCTGGGTCAAGTGTTGCCCTGTCAGTTGGTGAATTTCAGGTAGGTCGTAGGTCAGGCATCCTGCGGAAGGGGCCTCACTGCATTCACAGGCTGATGCCCAGGCCTCCTACTCGCCTCCATGAGAACCACTGGCTCACCGGGACCCCAAGAGTCAGTGTTTTATTTGGATTACCTCATTTGTTCCTTATCACTACCCTGAAAGGTAGCAGTTAGCTTTCCCTCCTTTTAAATTTTATTTATTTGTTTTGAGATGGAGTCTCGCTCTGCGCCCAGACTGGAATGCAGTGGTGCAATCTCAGCTCACTGCAACCCCCGCCTCCTAGGTTCAAGCGATTCTCCAGCCTCAGCTTCTTGAGTAGCTGGGATTACAGGCGTCCGCCGCCATGCCTGGCTAATTTTTTGTATTTTTAGTAGAGACAGGGTTTCACCGTGTTAGCCAGGGTAATCTTGATCTCCTGACCTTGTGACCTGCCTACCTAGGCCTCCCAAAGTGCTGGGATTATGGGCGTGAGCCTCCATGCCTGGCCACTTTCCCTCTTTAAGGCCGGGCACGGTGGCTCATGCCCGTAATCCCAGCACTTTGGGAGGCCAAGGCGGGCGGATCATCTGAGGTCAGGAGTTCTAGACCAGCCTGGCCAATGTGGCGATCTCTACTAAAAATAATAATAAAAAAAAAATTAGCCAGGCATGGTGGTGGGTGTCTGTAATCCCAGATACTTGGGAGGCTGAGGTAGGAGAATTGCTGGAACCCAGGAAGTAGAGGCTGCAGTGAGCCGAGATCGCGCTGGATGGAGATCAATCCAGGCTGGGTGACAGAGTGAGACTCTGTCTCAAAAAATAAAAATAAAAATAAATAAAAAATAGGCCGGGCACGGTGGCTCACACCTGTAATCCTAGCAGTTTGGGAGGCAGAGGCGGGTGGATCGCGAGGTCAAGAGATTGAGACCATCCTGAAAAACATGGTGAAACCCTCTCTCTACTGAAAATACAAAAATTAGCCGGACGTGGTGGCAGGCACCTGTAGTCCCAGCTACTCGGTAGGCTGGGGCAGGAGAATCACTTGAATCCGGGAGGCGGAGGTTGCAGTGAGCCGAGATTGCGTCACTGCACTCCAGCCTGGTGACAGAACGAGACTCTGTCTCAAAAAATAAATAAATAAATAAAATGACAGACCATGGGCTGGGTGCAGTGGCTCACACTTGTAATCCCAGCACTTTGGAAGGCTGAGGCAGGTGGATCCCTTGAGCTCAGGAGTTCGAGACCAGCCTGGGCAAGATGGAGAAACCTGGTCTCTACAAAAAATACAAAAATTAGCCAGGTGTGGTGGTGTGCACCTATAGTTCCAGCTACTCAGGAGGCTGAGGTGGGAGCATCCCTTAAGCCCAGGAGTTCAAGGCTGCAGTGAGTTATGATTATGCCACTGTACTCCAGCCTGAGTGACAGAACAAGACCCTGCCTCAAAAAAATAAAATAGGCTGGGCATGGTGGCTCATGCCTGTAATCCCAGCACTTTGGGAGGCCGAGGTGGATGGATCACCTGAAGTTCAGGAGCTCGAGACCAGCCTGGCCAACATGGTGAAACACCGTCTCTACTTAAAATATAAAAAATTAGCAGGGCATGGAGGTGGGCACCTATAATCCCAGCTACTCAGGAGGCTGAGGCAGGAGAATCACTTGAACCCAGGAGGCAAAGGTTGCAGTGAGCCGAGATTGCACCATTGCACTCCAGCTTGGGCAACAAGAATGAAACTTCGTCTCAAAATAAATAAATAAAATGTCAGATTATGGCTTATCAATGCTAGGTAGCTGGCCCAAGGACGTATGACCAGCTAGTAGCAGGGCTGGGATCTGATCCCAGGAAGTTTGGCTCCAAAGCCTGTGTTCCTGATGACTTCACCATATATTAACGAAGGACGTGTTTATGGCACCCACTAGGGCACAAATATCCTACCTGGGTGCCTTTCTGAAAATTAGAAGCAAGGTTCTTTCCTCCAGGAGGTAGCAGCCCTGTGTAGGTGGGCAAAGTCAAGCTTTGCCTCCAGTCCCCATTCACCCCACTGGCTGGGCCTGCCAACCTGCACAACCATATGTGGTGGGCTATGCATGTGTGACCGTGTGCTGACTACCACAGTACTTGGACGAGACCTGTCAGGGCTTCTTAGAACTAGAGACACCCAATGCTGGACTGGCCCTTAAGATCACACACAATCATTGTCATCATGGTCTCTGTAGCTGCCATTTATGAAAAAAATTTTTTTTTTTTGAGACAGGGTCTCATTCTGTTGCCCAAGCTGGAGTGCAGTGGTGTGAACATTGCTCACTGCAGCCTGGACCTCCTGGAATCAAATGATCCTCCTGCCTCAGCCTCCGGAGTATCTGGGACCATAGGCTTATGTCACAATGCCTGGCTAATTTATTTATTTACTTTTGTAGAGATGGGGTCTTGCCACGTTGCCCAGGCTTGAAATACTTATGATGTGCAAAGTATAATGCTAAGCATTTTATCTGTATCATCTCATTTCAACACTCAAAATGGCCAGTGAGACAACAGGCTTAGAGAAATCAAATACTCTAAACTCCTCCCTTTCAGGTAGAAGGTAGGTAGTGATGGGGTTATTTGCCTCTGGTTTTGTTGCTAGCCAACCCAGCGTTTGGACGCAGCTTGAGTTAAACTGCCCTATCCTGGCTACTGCCCTGCAAGGCCTTATAGGAAGTGGAAAAGACTAGCTATGTGACCCCAGGCAGGTTACTTAACCTCTCTGTATCTGTTTCTTTGTCCATACGGTGGGGACAATTAATAGTTCCTACCTTGTGGGGTTGTTGTAAAGATTAAATGAGCTAACAACTGGCAATATTTAGTTTGTAGAACTCAGTCCTGGAAAATGGTGGGGAGAAGTAGTGAAGAAAAAAAGGCACAAATTGGGCTTCCTGGTAGGTTTGGTGGCTCTGTGGTTTTAGAGTTTTTTATTTGTTTGTTCTTACCATTTCTCTACTCTTCAGTGCCTGTGTGACCTCAGATGTGCCACTGAGGTGGGGATCTGAGCATGGACACCAGAGACGCCCTACATCTTGCGGTTCCCTCTGGCTGGAATGTTCTTTCCTCCAGATAGCCTCATGCAGTGAACCCCAACTTCCTTTAAGCCTTGACTTAGAAGCCACCTTCCCCTGAGGCCTTCCCTGGCCACTCCCCACCTTCTAAAACTTCCTATCTCCCGACCCTACTTTATTTTGCTCCTTGGCACTTAGTAACACTTTTTCTTTTTTTTTTTTGAGACACAGTCCAGCTCTGTCGCCCAGGCTGGAGTGCAGTGGTGCGATCTGGGCTCACTGCAACCTCCGCCTCCTGGGTTCAAGCGATTCTCCTGCCTCTGCCTCCCGAGTAGCTGGGATTACAGGCGCCTGCCACCACGTCCGGCTAATTTTTGTATTTTTAGTAGAGACGAGGTTTCACCATCTTGGCCAGGCTGTTCTTGAAATCCCAACCTCGTGATCCACCTGCCTTGGCCTCCCAAAGGGCTGGGATTACAGGCATGAGCCACCGCGCCCAGCCTGGCTAATTTTTTTGTATTTTTAGTAGAGGTGGGGTTTCACCATGCTGGCAAGGCTGGTTTTGAACTCCTGACCTTAAGTGATCTGCCCGCCTCTGCCTCTCCAAGTGCCAGGATTATAGGAGTGAGCCACTGCACCTGGCCATTCTTTTTTTTTTTTTTTTTTTTTTTTTGAGATGAGGTCTCACTCCGTTGCCCAGGTTGGAGTGCAGTGGCACAATCATGGTTCATTGCAGCCTCAACCTCCCAGGCTCTCATGACCTCCCACCTCAGCGTCCCTAGTAGCTGGCACCACAGGTGCACACCACAATGCCCAGTTAATTTATTTTTTATTTTTAGTAGAGATTGGATCTCTCTATGTTGGCCAGGCTGGTCTCGAACTCCTGGGCTCAAGTGATCCTTCTGCCTCGGCCTCCCAAAGTGCTGGGATGACATGCATGAGCCACTGAAACTGGCCCAACTGCTTCTCTTTTTTTTTTGCGGCGGGGGACAGAGTCTAGCTCTGTCGCCCAGGCTGGAGTGCAGTGGCACAATCTTGGCTCACTGCAACCTCCGCCTCCCGGGTTCAAGAGATTCTCCTGCCTCAACCTCACGAGTCACTGGGACTATAGGCGCGCGCCACCATTTTTTTTTTTTTTTTTTTTGAGACTGAGTCTCGCTCTGTCGCCCAGGCTGGAGTGCAGTGGTGCGATCTTGGCTCACTGCAAGCTCCGCCTCCCGGGTTCACGCCATTCTCCTGCCTCAGCCTCCGGAGTAGCTGGGACTACAGGCACCCACCACCACTCCCGGCTAATTTTTTTTTGTATTTTTAGTAGAGACGGGGTTTCACCATGTTAGCCAGGATGGTCTCCATCTCCTGACCTTGTGATCTGCCCACTTCGGCATCCCAAAGTGCAGGGATTACAGGCATGAGCCACCGCGCCTGGCCAGGCCCGGATAATTTTTGTATTTTTAGTAGAGATGGGGTTTCACCATGTCGGCCTGGCTGGTCTTAAACTCCTGACCTCAGGTGATCTGCCCGCCTCAGCCTCCCAAAGTGCTGGGATTACAGAGCCTGGTCAATTATTTATCTTTTTTTGAGACAGGATCTTGCTCTGTTGCCCAGGCTGCAGTACAATGGTGAGATTGAGGCTCACTGCAGCCTTAACCTCCTGGGCTCAAATGATCCTCTCACCTGTCAGCCTTCTGAGTAGCTGGGACTACAGGTACCTGCCACCATGCCCAGATAATTTTTGTATTTTTTGTAGAGATGAGGTTTCACCATGTTCCCCAGGGCTGGTATTGAAATCCTGGTCTCAAGCAATCCGCCCAGCTCAGCATCCCAAAGTGCTGGGATCATAGTGGAAAGCCACTGCGCCCAGCTCCTATTTCTTATTTATCTCTGGAATGTAAGCTCCAAGGGGTAAAAGGTAGGAATGTTTTTGGTTTTGTTTTGTTTTTGAGATGGATGGCATCTTGCTCTGTTGCCCAGGCTGGAGTGCAGTGGCATGATCTCTCTCGGCTCACTGCAACCTCTGCCTCCTGGGTTCAAGCAATTTTCCTGCCTCAGCCTCCCAAAAACCTGGAACTACAGGCATATGCCACCACACCCGGCTAATTTTTATATTTTTAGTAGAGACAGGGTTTCACCATGTTGACCAGGCTGGTCTCGAACTCCTGACCTCAGGTGATCCACCCGCCTTGGCCTCCCTCCCAAAGCGCTGGAATTACAGGCATGAGCCACCATGGCCAGACTTTTTTTTTTTTTGACATGAGGTCTTGCTTTGTCACCCAGGCTGTAGTGCAGTGGTGTTACCACAGCTCCCTGCAGCCTTGACCTCCCCTAGGCTCAGGTGATTCTCTCATTACAGCCTCCCAAGTAGCTGGGACTACGGGCATATGCCACCACGCCCAGCGAATTTTTTGTATTTTTAGTAGAGATAGGGCTTCACCATGTTGCCCAGGTTGGTCTCGAACTCCTGGGATCAAGCAATTCACCGCCTTGGACACCCAAAGTGTTGGAATTACAGGTGTGAGCCACAGCGCCCGGCCAAGGGTAGGGAATTTTGTCTGCTTTGTTCATTGCCGTATCTGAAGTCGTTAGAATAGGGCCTAGCACGTAATAGGTGGTAAAAACAAAACAAAAAAACTGGTAAATGAATGAACCTGTCCTCAAAGTCCATCCTCCAGGATGGAAGCCATCGTCCACGCTGGACTGAGTTGGCCTGGAGATAGGGATGACAATTATAACTTGACCACTTCTGGGCCAGGCACAGTGGCGCACACCTGTAATCCCAGCACTTTGGGAGGCTGAGGCGGGCAGATCACTTGAGGTCAGGAGTTCCAGACCAGCCTGGCCAACATGATGAAACCCCATCTGTACTAAAAATACAAAAATTAGCTGGGTGTGGTGGTGCACGCTTGTAACCCCAGCTACTCAGGTGGCTGAGGCAGGAGAATTGCTTGAACCGGGGAGGTGGCGGTTGCAGCGAGCAGAGATTGCGCCACTGCATTCCAGCCTGGGCGACAGAGTGAGACTCTGCCTCAAAAAAAAAAAAAAAAAAAAAAAAGGCCAGGTATGGCCAACTCACGCCTGTAATCCCAGCACTTTGGGAGGCCAAGGCAGGTGGATCACCTGAGGTCAGGGATTGACCACCTGCCTAGCCAACATGGTGAGACCAGCCTGGCCAACATGGTGAAACTTGGTCTCTACTGAAAATAAAAAATTAGCTGGGCGTAGTGGCGGGCGCCTGTAACCCCAGCTACCCGGGAGGCTGAGGCAGGAGAATCACCTGAACCCGGAAGGCGGAGGTTGCAGTGAGCCAAGATCATGCCATTGCATTCCAGCCTGGGTAACAAGAGAGAAATTCCGTCTCAAAAAAAAATTAAAAGAAACCATAAATAAGTTGACCACTCTGGAGTCCTCACAATTTGCCTCATACTCTTCTTGGGGCCTCACACACATTACCTCATTTAATGATATTCTCAGTACAGCCACCCACAATAGGTTTTATATTATCCTGTTGCCCAGGCTGGAGCGCAGTGGCGTGATCTCGGCTCACTGCAACCTCCGTCTCCTGGGTTCAAGCAATTCTCCTGCCTCAGCCTCCAGAGTAGCTGGGATTCCACGCCCAGCTAGTTTTTTTATTTTTAGTAGAGACAGGGTTTCTCCATGTTGGCCAGGCTGGTCTTGAACTCCTGACCTCAGGTGATCCACCTGCCTTGGCTTCCCAAAGTTCTGGGATTACAGGCATGGGCCACTGCGCCCGGCCATATTATTCTAATTTTACAGAAGAGGAAACCGAGGCTCAGAGAGGGATATACCTTACTCGAGGTCGCACAGCTTGTAAGCAGCAGTCAAGATTCGAATCCAGGCCCAGCTGACCCCAGATGCTCAATCTTTCCCTCTGCCATACTGCTAGACCTGGCCCTGAAGAGGCCTATGGCCCGCCAGCTGGTTACATAAACCACCGCACAAGGTCTCACGTGCTAAGTGCTAAATGTGTCATGTCTGACTCCACCCTTTCCCTCACTTCCACATCCAGCAGTCATCAAGTGTGGCTGAAATCGCCGCCGAGCTTGGGAATGGCTCTGGAAATCTTCCCTTCGATAGCTCAGGTCCTTGTTAACACTCACGTGGTCCAAGGTTATGGCCTCCCAGCTATCCCCTGGCCTCCAGGCTTACCTTCCTCCATCCAGCCCTCCTCCCCCTGAGGGTCAACGTCCCTAACCACAGTTCAGGACTATCACTCCTGGGCTCAAAACCTCCACTGGTCCCCACTGACTCTAGAAGAAAGTTCAAATTCTTCTACCAGGCAGTCAAGGGCTCTGGTCTAGCTCCAATCTTCCTTTTTAATCTTGCCTTGTGTTATCCTCTTCAAACACACAGTACTCAGCGTGAGCCAGGCGTGATGGCAGATACCCATAGTCCCAGCTACTCAGGAGGCTGCAGCTAGAGGATTGCTTGAGCCCAGGAGTTTGAGTCCAGCCTGGGCAATATATTGAGACCCAGTTTCTAAACAAATGAACAAAACCCCAGACACCCAGTGTGCTCTCCAGCTTCTACATGACCCACACCTTCATGCCTTTGCCTGTGCTGGCTTGTTCTGCCAGAAATGCTCTTTCCCCAAGCTTGTCAAAATCCCTCCAAAACGTTAAGATCTGACTCCAAGGCCACCTCCTTCTTGGCCCTCCCTGATCCACAGGATGAGAACGATCATTCCTTCCTCTGACTCATCAACCTTTTGTGCTCCTATGGCCAGCATCCACCTTACACAGCAGCAGAGACTCAGGTTCTCATGCCCTCAGCTGGGGATCCCTGAGCATCCGGGTCTTCTGAAATGGACTGCTGCAAATGCTAAGTTCTGCAGCAACTGGGGAGAAGAGTGTTGGAGGGAGTTGCACAGAAAGGACCATCCACTGAATGTTCCAGAAGGCAGCAGAGTACAGTAGTTAAGAGCACAAGATCTTCAACCTGATTGCCCGGGTTCAAATACAGCTTCACCTCTTACTAGCTAAGTGACTTGGGGCAGATTACTTAACTTCTCTGGACCTCAGCTGCCTCACTTGAAAAAGGGAGGTAGAGTGCCTACTTCAGGGTGTTGTTCTGAGGACAGAGTGGCCACATATAAGTGCCCTGAGGACAGGCTGGTGCACGGTCAGTGCTAAGCAAGTGTGTGCTGCCATTATTATCAGCGAAGCCCCAAGAAGGGAATTCCCAGTCCTGGGGGAGGGCTGACAGGGGCTGGCATAGGCACAGCCCCCAGACTATAGCCACTTTCCGGGTCCGTTTCCCATGTGCTTTTGGAAGATACGCAGGGCAGACAATCAGCCCCATTCTGCAGATGAGGAACTGAGCTTCCTTCAGATCAAGTGCCAGTGAGGGAATGGTAAAGACGCCAGAGCTCCTCAGCCCTGGACCATGGCTCCTTTCTCTTCACCAGACCGTCACTGTGCACCTGTTGAGCAGGCTCCCACGGCAGCCACCCCTTCCCAGCCCCCCATGCCGGAGGGCCTGTCCGCAGCACCCTCCCTTCCCCCACGTACACACATCCTTCCAGTGGGGCCGGGCACAGTAGACAGTGGTGTGCAGGCTTGGAATGCACTTGCACACACACCCCTAGAAGGGCCCAGTCCCCAAAGGTGAGGAAAACCTGTTCTGAGGAATCTGCCTAGTGAGCGAATTCTGTTCTGAGGCCCTTCCACCGTCGCAGGAGTGGGGCCCAGTGTGCGTCAGAGATACCCACAAGGGGGGCAGAGAGAGGGAGAGGGTGAAGCAGGAGGAGGCTGAAAACTTCACGTTTCTTTTTTCCATTTTAGTGACAAGAGTCACACCCAGCCTTTACATAAACATGGCCAAGGAGCCTCTCTGTCTAAGCTTACTTCCCTTGTGGCCGCCCAGCCTCTCCTCCGGGTGACCCTGACACGCTGGGCAGGCTCATGAGGGGCAAACATACAGACCCTGCAAAGATTAGCTGGGCCATCTGACAACACCCATGCCTCCCGCCGGCCTCCATGCGCTACCCTGCATTTATCTCCCGCCTTCCTCATACCAAATCCCCTCCGCAGCCCCACCGCCACTTAAGCACACAGACGGCAGGCACGCACACACAGCCTGCTTGCGGCTGGCCTCTTGGGTCTGAGGCCCACACTGCCCTTGTCACGCCACCTCCCTCCCCACATGTGTTTTCTGACCAGTTTGCCTCCCAGCTCAGCAGCCCAGACAGGCTCCTACAAACAACGTCACAAAAGAATCCTGTGGAGAATGTTGCAAACACACAACCTTCCCCTCGCTTGGCTGCCCATGATCCCATAAACACAACTGGCGCATTCCACCTCGAGCCCCTCACACCAGTGCCAACTGACCCACAGGCCCCTGAGACATACCCCGGGGTTCCTCGCTCCTCTCATGATCTTTGGGATCTGAGTTCTAGACGCGCAGCCCCCATGCAACGCGCTCATCACAGACACGCAAACCCATCCATCGCCCTCTTCACCACTGGACCACACCTCAGCAGGGCCACAGAAATGGGACCCAGACGTGACGCCTTCTGACTCAAAGGCCCACAACCGCCCCCTCCAAAAGGGCACATACACTGCATCCTGGCACCCTCCGCAACACATACAGCATGCCAGCTCTGCAGAAAACAGTTCATAAACAGGTCATAGGTGCAGCACAAGACACACATGCGAGAAAACACATGCTGTAGAAAACATACAGCCCCACATCGAACAAACTCTGCACCCAGCATGCTGTGCCCTGCTCAGAATACCCATCTGTCACCCAAAGCCACAGGGCTCGTCTTGTAACTCTGCCCCACAACACTGGACACCCTTCCTGGCTTTCTATCTCCATGGCCCAGGGAGGGCCCTACCCAGACCCCTGGCTGCCAGCAAACGGTGGTGCCCAGGAGAGGTTTACCTTGCCCCACCACACAGCACAAGACACACGATCTCCAAGACTCACAGCCACAACCCTGCCCCGACGGCGCGGCGGTTCCGGGGCCCCAGCTCGCCCTGCGCACCCCGCACACCCCAACTCTGGGGCGCTCGGCGGCCCACCCCTCCCCCTCTCTGCCTGGCTCCTACGCCATCACCCTCCCAGCAGCTTGCAGCGCTTGCCCGGGCTCACACCCGCCCCACCCCACCCCCAATCTGCCCCACGGGGGGAGGGGGCCATTAGGCTGCAGAATTAACCCTTCAAAGAGGGAGTGAGCACCTCCCCTTCCACGGCCCCAGGCGATCGCGTCCCACGGCCGCCCCTCGCTCGGACGCCATACCAGGGCCCCCTTAGTCGCCCCCCAGCGTCGTGCGCGCCCGGGGGCGGGGCCAGGCTCAGCCCCCGACCCCTGCGCCCCCAGGTCAACCCCAAAGGAGAGCGGTCTGGGCGCGGGGCGCGGTCGGGGCTCCCGCAGCGCCGGGCAGCGGAGAGGGGGCCTGGCAGTTGGCTCCGGTCCGCCCTGGCCCTGCCCAGTTCGCCCCAGGGCCCACCTGACTGCGATGGCGCCGCGTCCGCCAGGCCCGGCTCATCACCGTGGCCGCCCCCGGCCGCTCCGGTTTTGCCCGCCTCCAGCTCCGGCTCCGGCTCCAGCTCCGGCCCTGGCCCCCCCAGCGCCTGGCCCCGGCCCGGCCCCGCTGCCGCCGCCGCCGCCGCCGCTGACATCATCGGCTCCCCCCGCCCCGGTCCTACCCCCACCCCCACCCCCGGAAACAGTCCCCCCCCAGCGCCGCCGCCGCCGCCGCCGAGAGGAGGCCGGCGCAGCGCAGCCGACACCGACACAAAGCTCCGAGCGCCCGACGGCCTTCCCCAGGACTGACCCCCGCGGCATGACACTGCGCCGCGCTGGGCCACCGGGCGGGTGGACACCGAGCGGGGCGCGGGCCGGGCTGCAGCATCCCGGCAGGGGCGCAAGACCACCGACCCCCAGGGAAAGGGCTCCCTCCGCCCTTCCTCCTGCACGCCCTTCACTCAGCGGTGCACACTGCCTGAAAGCATAACACACAGGCTCTCAGGGTGCAGACATGACATGGCAGACTCATAATCAGGCCCGGTGGGACTCACAGACCCAGGGTCGGCACACTCAAAGAGGGCCAGCCCTGGACACACACACACACCCTCTCCAGGAATGCGCAGGAAAGCTCAGCAGGCCGCGGAAAAAGAAGGCCCTGGCCCTGCATACGGGGCACACACGAACGACCACCAGCGCAAATGAACACATGAAGCTGGCTGGGTACTTTGTCCCCACCAGCAGATAGATCCACATCTGTATACTTGAACATAAATGCAGAGGCCTTGGTGTCGGCCTCTGGGGACAGCATCAACAAAACACCAGGTGGAAGCACACACAGAAAAAACACATTCCTGAAACTCCACAGGGACAATCCCAAGAACTCCTCCCTGGTGCTGGAAAATTAAAAACTAAGGAGATGGAGGAGCCAGGGTTCACAGCTCCTTGCCTTAAAACCTCTCTGAGGCTGGGCGCGGTGGCTCACGCCTGTAATCCCAGCACTTTGGGAGGCCGAGGTGGGCGGATCACGAGGTCAGGAGATCGAGACCATCCTGGCTAACACGGTGAAACCCTGTCTCTACTAAAAATACAAAAAAATTAGCCGGGCGTGGTGGCGGGCGCCTGTGGTCCCAGCTACTCGGGAGGCTGAGGCAGGAGAATGGCGTGAACCTGGGAGGCGGAGCTTGCAGTGAGCCGAGATCTCGCCACTGCACTCCAGCCTGGGCGACAGAGACAGACTCCGTCTCAAAAAAAAAACAACAACAAAAAAACCTCTCTGAAACCATGCAAGATATAAATAAACAAATTAATGTAAAGCCACAGAGCTAGCCATAAAAAGAATAAAAGAATCAGACAAACTTTGGAGTCATGGAGACATAAATAGAAAAGAAGCAGAGTTGGGCTGGGCACGGTGGCTCATGCCTGTAATTCCACCACTTTGGGAGGCGGGGGGTGGTGGGGTGGATCACTTGAGGTAAGGAGTTCAAGACCAGCATGGCCAACATGGAGAAACCCCATCTCTACGAAAAATAAAAAATTAGCGGGGTGTGGTGGCACATGCCTGTAATCCCAGGTACTTGGGAGGATGAGGTAGGAGAATTGCTTGAACCCAGGAGGTGGAGGTTGCGGTGAGCCGAGATTGCACGCACCACTGCACTCCAGCCTGGGCAAGAAGAGCAAAACTCCGTCCCAAAAAAAAAAAAAAAAATTAGCCAGGTGTAGTGGCACATTCTTGTAATCCCAGCTACTTGGGAGGCTGAGGCAGGAGAATCGCTTGAATCTGGGAGGTGGAGGTTGCAGTGAGATGAGATCACACCATTGCACTCCAGCCTGGATAACAAGAGTGGAAACTTCGTCGCAAACAAAAAAAGAAAGAAAGAAAGAAAAGAAGCAGAGTTGGACTCAGCGGGAAAATAGGCGTGCTACCACCTCAGGAGAGTTCCAGGGAAGAACCCCACCCCCACTCCAACCATGTCACAATGGCTGGAGCTCTGAGGGGCCCAGGCTCCCTGAGCCAGGAGGAGAGGAGAAAGTCCAAGGAAAGATGGTGAGTGTGGGGGCCAGGGGCCTAGTACTCCCTCCCTATAGCTCCTGGTTGCTCCATTTCCCCTCCTTTCCTAAAACTTAGCTGTCTCAGAGATACCCACAAATAGAATTCATAATGGTGTACCCAGATGTCTCTGGAACCTGTGGCATCATACAGATGCATAGCATCTGAGGCTTCCTCCCCTTCCTCAATCCGAGAGAGCATCCTGGGTCCTTTTTCTCCTCCCAGGAACAACTTACCCAGGGAAACGATGCTCCAGGACTGCTCACTCCTTGCTTCCTGCTCCAGGCCCACATTATAACATCTCACTCATCTTTTAGGCCCTTTCTAGCTCCGAAGAGTTCCTCAGCAAGATAGCCCAACACTGTACAGTCCCACAGGGTCCCAGACCCCATCCTGGCATCTGCCCTGCCCCAGGTCGCCTGGGCTGCGGCTGCTGTCTACCCTGAGCTCCTTTCTCCCTAACAGGCTGGCAGTCACCCCTACTTGAACCCGCCTGACTCCACACACCCATCGCCGCCCTCCGCTCCACCCAGCCTCCGCTGGCACCAGTGCTGCCAGCCCTCTGATGCCACCAATGGCCTGCTGGTGGCCCTGCTGGGTGGGGGCCTGCCTGCTGGCTTCGTGGGCCCCCTTTCTCATATGGCTTACCAGGCTTCCAACCTGCCCTCGCTGGAGCTGCTCATCTGTCGATGCCTCTTCCACCTCCCTATTGCCCTGCTACTTAAACTGCGTGGCGACCCCCTTCTGGGACCTCCTGACATCCGAGGCCGGGCCTACTTCTATGCCCTGCTCAACGTCCTCAGCATTGGATGTGCCTACAGTGCGGTTCAGGTGGTGCCCGCTGGCAACGCTGCCACTGTTCGCAAAGGTTCTTCCACCGTCTGCTCCGCCGTCCTCACCCTCTGCCTTGAGAGCCAGGGTCTCAGTGGCTACGACTGGTGTGGACTGTTGGGCAGCATCCTAGGACTAATCATCATTGTGGGACCTGGACTCTGGACACTACAGGAGGGGATCACGGGTGTCTACACCGCCCTGGGCTATGGGCAGGCTTTCGTGGGAGGACTGGCGCTGTCCCTGGGGCTTCTGGTCTATCGTTCTCTGCACTTTCCCTCCTGCCTCCCAACAGTGGCCTTCCTATCTGGCTTGGTGGGGCTGCTGGGCTCTGTGCCAGGCCTCTTTGTGCTGCAGCCCCCCGTGTTGCCCAGTGATCTCCCGAGTTGGAGTTGTGTGGGGGCAGTGGGGATCCTCGCCTTGGTCTCCTTCACATGTGTGAGCTATGCGGTCACCAAGGCCCACCCTGCCCTGGTGTGCGCTGTCCTGCATTCCGAGGTGGTGGTGGCCCTTATACTGCAGTATTATATGCTCCATGAGACTGTGGCACCTTCTGACATCGTGGGGGCAGGGGTTGTGCTGGGCAGCATTGCCATCATCACAGCCTGGAACCTCAGCTGTGAGAGGGAAGGGAAGGTGGAGGAGTGAGATAGAACTTGGGAGCCCGGGGGTTGGGAGGGACAGGGATAAATAGAGGCAAAGACTGAAGACAAACATGGGAGGAGAAGTGACTGGAAAAGAACTGGTGTGGGAGAGGGATACCTCTCAGAGTCAAGGGTGACTTGGGGACTTGGTGGAGAGGGACTACCTGGAAGACCTGGGGCCAGCCTGGGACCAAGGGATGTGGAGACCAGGCTGGGTCCTGGAATCAGGGCATAACTAAGGGGTAAAGTCTGAGGAGCAGATCCAAACGGCTGAGGCAGGGAGGCCGTGGGCCACGGGGAGGACTTCACTCAGCAGCAAAGAGAAGAGCATTGGGGCTGGAGTGTTCCGGCAAAGACAGAGCCAGCAGCTGCGGTGGGGGAGGGGAGCGTGCCTCCCCACCCCTCCCCTCACGGCAAAGGTTTCCTTTCCTCGTGCTTGTGCCCCCCCCTTGGGGTGGTGACGTGACATTGACATCAAACAAGGATTACTCTGAATGTGGCTTGCAGTGGTGTCGTCTCTGCTTTGGAGGGAGAGTGGAAAGTCCTACGACCGTTCTCATTGGAGAACCCCTTGGGATCCCCGCCCCCCATTTTATTCCTGAAATATTCTACAAAGTGGAGGATTTCCTAATGTTCAGATGCCTTGACCCCAAATCCCCCAGGACTTTCGTGGCCCGCCCCATGGCTAATCTGCTTTTCTCGGATTGTCGCGGTCCCGTGATCTCTCCCGGACAGTGGCCACCCTCCTTCCAGAGCAGGCCTCCCAGCTGAAGTCTCTTCGAGAGGCTCAGGCCATGGATCTAGGATCATGGCTCGGTACAGCGCGGCATTACAGGCCAGGAGATGCCCACCCGTCTCCGGGGGCCGTTTGACAAACATCGGCTACTTCCGGACAAGCCACTGGTCCTGCCATCTTGGTTTGTTCATGCATATTCAGCAAGAGAACTGCATATTCATGAGCAACCGCCCTTCCCCGGGAGGACCCGCCCCGCCCCGCCGCCATTACCGATTCGCAGAGCAGACCATTTTCCAGCTGGGGGGGGCTACGAATGAGAGGCTTTTGCTGAAGATGAAACCGTTGTCCAAACTAGAATGAAAGCGGCCCAATTTTACCCTCGAGTCTTCAAACCTTAAGCCTCAGTGCAAAAGGGAGCAGCGAGGAGAGGCGGTGGGATTAAAGAAAAAAATTCTTCTCTCCCTGTCACTTCAAAAGGTCGCCCAACCAGCGAGCGGGGGGTTTACCCACGACTCTGGCTCGCACCCCTTGCGGGCCTGCGCAGGCGGCCCCGTAGCGCAAGGGAGGGCGGGAAAGGAAGGGGCGGGGACGCGAGGGCGAATCTATAAGAAGCGTCGTTCAGCGAGTTCGCTGCTCAGAAGCGCCGAGAGCGCGGCCGGGACGGTTGGAGAAGAAGGCGGCTCCCGGAAGGGGGAGAGACAAACTGCCGTAACCTCTGCCGTTCAGGAACCCGGTTACTTATTTATTCGTTACCCTTTTTCTTCTTCCTCCCCCAAAAACCTTTTCCTTTTCCCTTCTTTTTTTTTCCTTTTTGGGAGCTGAAAAATTTCCGGTAAGGGAAAGAAGGGCTCCTTTCGCTCCTTATTTCCCCGCCTCCTTCCCTCCCCCACCTTCCCCTCCTCCGGCTTTTTCCTCCCAACTCGGGGAGGTCCTTCCCGGTGGCCGCCCTGACGAGGTCTGAGCACCTAGGCGGAGGCGGCGCAGGCTTTTTGTAGTGAGGTTTGCGCCTGCGCAGCGCGCCTGCCTCCGCCATGCACGGGGGTGGCCCCCCCTCGGGGGACAGCGCATGCCCGCTGCGCACCATCAAGAGAGTCCAGTTCGGAGTCCTGAGTCCGGATGAACTGGTAAGCGGCTCTGTCCTCCCCTTCCCCCCTCCTCCCCTGGCGGGCGGGGCCGGACGGGGGCTGCGGAAACTTGGCGCTTTCTCGCTGCTTATGGGTGACGGGCCAGGAGCATGGCTCAGCAGCGCCAAGGCCGTGTAGGCGCCAGTCTCGGGCCTCCCAGAGTTATATTTTGCAAAGAGTTGAGCAGGCGTAGCGCTTTGTCCGAGATGGGGGGCTGGCTGGAGGGTGAGAAGGAGGGAGAGAAGGATGACTGATTTCACACTCCAGAGTTACCGACGTTAAAGGCGATCCGACGAATCCTAGGGAGTCTTTACAAGTTTGGTTAAGAAGCCAAACCCGGGTAGCTTCCTCCTCTTCTGTAATACAAATGTTAACTGAGCACCTGCTCTGTTGAAGACACAGGAGACTCGGGTTACAGAGGTGAACACGACAGACCAGGACCCTACCTTCAAGAGCACTGTCTGTGGGAAAGGGCAAGCAGTAAACATGAATACAATGAATGAATGAGATAATTCAGTTAATGGCATTTGTCTCGAATAGAGTGAAAAGGGGTAATCCCATGGAGAGTCACTGAGCTGGGGCTACTTTATTTTTTTATTTTTATTTTATTTTATTTTTTGAGACGGAGTCTTGCTCTGTCGCCCAGGCTGGAGTGCAATGGCACGATCTCGGCTCACTGCAATCTCCGCCTCCCGGGTTCAAGCGATTCTCCTGCCTTAGCCTCCTGAGTAGCTGGGATTACAGGCATGCGCCACCATGCCCCGCTAATTTTTGTATTTTTAGTAGAGGAGGGGTTTTGCCATGTTGGCCAGGCTGGTCTCGAACGCCTGCCCTGAGGTGATTCTCCCCCGTCTTTTTTTTTTTTTTTTTTTTTTTGAGACGGAGTTTCGCTCTTATTCCCCAGGCCAGAGTGCAATGGCTGAACTCCTGACTTCAGGTGATCCACCCGCCTCGGCCTCTCAAAGTGCTGGGATTACAGGCGTGAGCTACCGCGCCCGTCGAGGTGGGGCTACTTTAGATGGGATGGCGTCAGGGTCTGGGAAGGCCTATCTTAGAAGACATTACCCAAATGATGAGAGGCAGCCAGTCGTCGAAGCCATAGTTTGGATGGCGAGAGCTTTTCCGGCAGAGGAAATAGCAAGTGCAAAGGGCCTGAGGGAGAAATGAACTTGGGCTTGTCCTACAGGGTGAAAGGCGGCCGGTGTGGCTGAGGTTTAGTGGATGAGAGAAGAGTGTTACAGAAATAGGCTGGAGAAGCATGGGATATTGTATATTATGGTAAGGAGTCAGGACTTAATTCCATTTTCAGTAGGTAGTCGTTGACAATTATAAACAGAGTGACAGCACATTTGAAAAAACTACTGCTGTAGTTGCTCTATGAAGAACTGATGCGAGAGGAGGAGAGACCAGAGAGAGGAGGGCAGCCCTAGGGGAGAGCTATTGGTGACTTGGACTTTTTCCCTTGTGGCGCTAAGTAGAGGAGCCCACTGGCTGGAAAGAATGGAGTTAAGTGGCTGTTTGTGGATAGAGACCATTTTTGCTGGGAGAAAGTTCAGCTATGTCAGGAGTCAGAACGTCCTGACCTCACACCATACCACAGAATCAGTTCCAGATGAAGTTAAGACTTAAACCTAAAAAAACCCATAAAGCACTAGAAAAAAAATAGAAGGCTTTTGCAGGGCTGATACCAGAGACAGAAGTCCTTAATAGTAGTGAATTAATTATAGGCAAATTTTATGGAGTGCCTAAAATGAGCTAAACGTTATATATAAGGAAGACCAAGGCAGATTTCACTACATAAAAATAAGAGCCACTTCTGTTTATAGAGGCACTGTGGCAAAGCTGAAAAACAGATCAGGAAACAGTATTTGCAATTACGCAGACAAGGTTAAATTTATTGATGTACAAGGAACACAAATCAGTAAGGAAAGTACCTATCTACTAGAAAAATGGGTAAAGGAGATGAATAGGCAGTTCACAGAAATAGTGCAAATGGCCAACAAAGAGTAGACTTTCTAATAAAAAAAATCCAGATTAAAATAAAATTTTTTCTCATCTGATTTTTTTTCCCTGCTGGCAAAAATACTGGGAAATAGACGTGCTTATACATTGTTGGTAGAAAGATAGATTGGTATAACCTTTTTGGAGGATGGTCTGACAATTTTTTTTTTTTCGAGATGGAATCTCACTCTTGTTGCCCAGACTGGAGTGCAGTGGCACGATCTTGGCACACTGCAACCTCCACCTCTCGGGTTCAAGCGATTCTCCTGCCTTAGCCTCCCAAGTAGCTGGGATTACAGGCGTGTGCCACGATGCCTGGCTATTTTTGTATTTTAGTAGAGATGGGGTTTTGCCGTGTTGCCCAGGCTGGTCTTGAACTCCTGACCTCAGAGGACCCGCCCGCCTTGGCCTCCCAAAGTGCTGGGATTACAGGCATGAGCCACCATGCCCGGCCTCTGGTCTAACAATTTTATCAACCTTTTAATATGTAAATCATTTGATCAAGCATTACCACTTATAAAAATTCATCCTTAGGTTAAAAAAGCTTAATTATCCCCTCAATGATGCCCCTTTCCCAGTCTTGCATGGTTCATTAAATAGTTTCTCCATTCATCCATTTGCTCAGGCCAAAAATCTAAAAGCCATCTTTGATTCTCTTTCTCACAATCTCCACTTAGTCCATCTGCCAGAGTGTCAGTCCTACCTTTCAAAATATGCCTGGAATCCAGCCATTTATGACCATCTCCACCACCATGTCCCACCATATCCCACCCTACTGTCATCTTTCCTGTGGGGTGCTATAGAGCCCTAATTGGTCTTCCTACAGTTTGTAAGAACAGCTAGAACAGGCTAGAGAGATCTCTTCATCCCTTCCCTTCATAGAATCCTTTCCAGAGGTTTCAGGACTCCTTACTCTGACCTATAAAGTGCTGTTTTATCTGGCTCCTGCTTGCTTCTCCATCTCATTACTAGTCTCCTCTTTGCTTTTCTTGAACCACGCTGACTGCTTGCTCCTCTAACACTGCAAGCTTATTCCCACCTCAAGGACTTTATTATTCACTATTCCTCCTGCTTGGAACAACGTTGCTCAGACCTCTGCTCTGCATGCCTGTTCCTTTATGTCTGTATGTTCTGTGTTGAAATGGCATATCTTTTTTTTTTTTTGGACACGGGGTATCCCTCTGTCCCCCAGGCTGGAGTGCAGTGGCTCGATCCCAGCTCACTGCAGCCTCTTGGGCTCAAAAGATGCTCCCTGGCCAGGCTCAATCACGTCTGTAATCCCAGCACTTTGGGAGGCCAAGGTGGGCAGATAACGAGGTCAGGAGTTTGAGACCAGCCTGGCCAAAATAGTGAAACTCTGTCTTTACTAAAAATACAAAAATTAGCTAGGTGTGGTGGCACGCCTCTGTAGTCCCAGCTACTAGGGAAGCTGAGGTAGGAGAATCAGTTTAACCTGGGAGGTCGAGGTTGCATTGAGCTGATACTGTGCCATTGCACTCCAGCCTGCGTGACGGAGTGAGACTGTCTCAAAAAAAAAAAAAAAAAGGCCAGGCGCGGTGGCTCACACCTGTAGTCCCAGCACTTTGGGAGGCTGAGGCGGGCGGATCACGAGGTCAGGAGATCGAGACCGTCCTGGCTAACACGGTGAAACCCCGTCTCCCCTAAAAATACAAAAAATTAGCAGGGCGTGGTGGCAGGTGCCTGTAGTCCCAGCTACCTGGGAGGCTGAGGCCGGAGAATGGCGTGAACCCGGGAGGTGGAGCTTGCAGTGAGCCGAGATTGCGCTCCTGCATTCCAGCCTGGGCAACAGAGCGAGACTCCGTCTCAAAAAAAAAAAAAAAATGCTCCCACCTCAGACAGACCCCCAACCCCCACCTCAGTAGCTGGGACAACAGGCTCATACCACCATGCCTAATTTTTAAATTTGTTGTAGAGATGGGTTCTCACTATGTTACCTAGGCTGGTGAACTGGGCTCAAGCGATCCCCCTCCTCTGCCTCCCAAAGTGCTGGGATTCCAGGCATGAGCCACTGCGCCTGGCCGATGTCATATCTTTAGGAGCGCTTCCCTGACCACTCTGTTTAAATAGCATCCCCCGCCCTTCCCTTGTTTTCTCTGATCATTCTCTGCTATATTTTCCTTCACAGCCTGTCACTCCAGAAAGGATTAGTTTTTCTGTTTCTTGCTTCCTTGCTAGAGAATGAATTTCATGAGGGACTTTGTCTGTGTTATTCATGTTCCCTTAGTATCTCAGGTAGTGCCTGGCACATGATAGACATGTAATAAAAATTAGTTGAATAAACAAGTGAATGAAATAATTGGGCAAATATGCATAGATAATGTAGAAGGACTTTTATTGCAACATTGTTTGAAAGTGACAATTATAAATTACTCGGTATTTACTAATAGGAATCCTGTTGAATAACTTAGGGTGTATTCTTACAATGTAATAGAGGAACTTCCCAATAAGGTCCCACACTGTGCTGATGCCCTGAGACACTGTGGCACACGGTGGGCACAGTGAGGTATTTTAAATTTCCAAGAGAAACACAGGTACATTTGTCAGATACCCTGGAACTCCTAGTTCCTGGTAGTTCTGTTTCAACATTAGATGGTGCCAAATCCCTTTCTATAATGTCATATTTTTGTGAAACTGGGTTTTTAGCAGTTGCTAAGTACAGGCAAAAATCAGTTTGTAGAAGAAATAAAGGTGGTGCTGTTTAGTCTGATTCCAAGGTTTGAGAGGTGCAGTGCCTAACAGGCGCCATAAGTGAGTGAGATGGTTATTTGGTAAAGAAATAAAAATGTTATTTTGTTTTAATATATTAATAGTATTTTCAACTTGTGTGTATTTTCTCAAATGGCTAGTAAGTTCCTAGGACATAAATGCTTAAGTTGTTTGGGTCTAGGTGCTTAATAAATTGCTGTCTTTTCTTGGAAAGATGGAGTCTTGCTCTGTTGCCTAGGCTGGAATGCAGAGGTGAGATCTCAGCTCACTGTAACCTCTGCCTCCTGGGTTCAAGCTACTCTCCTCCCTCAGCCTCTCAAGCAGCTGGGATCACAGGCATCCGCCACCATGCCCGGCAATTTTTGTATTTTTGGTAGAGACAGGGTTTCACCACATTGGCCAGACCGGTCTCAAACTTCTGACCTCAAGTGATCTGCCCACCTTGGCCTCCCCAAGTGCTGGGATTGCAGGTGTGAGCCACCGCGCTCGGCTGTGGCTCTCTTTTGACCTAGTAAGTGCTGTGAGAGTTACTGAAATGGTAAGGGCACTGTGGGCTGTTGATAATGTTAGGGAATCTATGGATAAATGAAAAAGTTACTCAGAAGTATGCAGAGTGAAGGCCTTATGTTAAAGTGGGAACGTATTTACGGTTTTTTTAAAGCATGAAAAAAAATGCATGCCGTGGCTCATGCCTGTAATCCCAGCACTTTCGGAGCCTGAGGCAGGAGGATCATTTGAGGCCAGGAGTTCAGGACCAGCCTGGGCAACACAGCAAGACCCTATCTCAATTTAAAAATAATAATAACAAATGGGCTGAGCACGGTGGCTCACTCCTGTAATCCCAGCACTTCGGGAGGCCAAGGTGGGCAAATCCCCGAGGGTCAAGAGTTCAAGACCATCCTGTCCAGCCTAGTGAAACCCCGTCTGTACTAAAAATATAAAAAGCAGCTGGGTGTAGTCGTGGGTGCCTGTAATCCCAGCTACTTGGGAGGCTGAGGCATATGAACCACTTGAACCTGGTAGGCGGAGGTTGTACTGACCCAAGATGGAATAATAACAAATAAAAGTATGGGACACTGTTGACAAAGCTCTACCAGAGTCATCTCTGGGGTGTAGGATTGTTGGGCTTCGATAGTGCTCTGCATGTCTTGCAGTTTATACGATGTCTGTATTTTGAGGGACCAACAGACGGTTCAATTTTGGGTAGAAGGATGGGTGAGGGTGAGTAAGGTGCCTCTTGTTGTGAAACAGGTGGTATTTTAGGCTAAAATGTTTTACAGAAGTCTTAGGGGTCAGAGTGTATGGAGGTACGGAGGGGTCTTTGAATTGGCTTTGAGATAGAGCTGTTGTCCTTGCTGTTAGAAGATGGATTTAGATGTTGCTAGGTGAGGGGAAGGTTACAAGGCGGGTTGGTACTAGAGCTTTGTACCAGCGTGTGCACAAAATTTTGGGGAAAGAGGGTGCTGGATTTCCTTCGCAGTAGTTGACCCCTATTCATTAAAAACAACTGTCTATCATGGAATGCATAACTTATTTATACCCTGACTTATTTAAATAAGGATTTAAAGCAGTAATCTGTTCTTTTTTTTTTTGATACGGACTCCAGCTCTGTTGCCCAGGCTGGAGTATAGTGGCACAGTCTGTGCTCACTGCAACCTCTGCCTCCTGGATTCAAGCGATTCTTCTGCCTCAGCCTCCCGAGTAGCAGGAACTACAGGAGCACGCCACCACACCCAGCTAATTTCTTTTTTGTATTTTTAGTAGAGACGGGATTTTACTGTGTTGTCCAGACTGGTCTCGAACTCCTGACCTTGTGATCCACCCACCTTGGCCTCGCAAAGTGCTGGGATTACAGGCATGAGCCACCGCACCTGGCCTAGTTTTTGTATTTTTATTAGAGACAGGGTTTTACCATGTTGGCCAGGCTGGTCTCGAACTCCTGACCTCAGGTGATCTGCCTGCATTGGCGTCCCAAAGTGCTGGGATTACAGGCTTGAGCCACTGCGCCTGGTCAATAATGTATTCTTTTAGGTAGAGTGTGGGCTACATTGATGAGTGAGAAGATGATCCTTGTTTTCAAGTTACCTATAATCTTGTGAGGGATTTCCTATGTATGCAGCAAATAGTTACTGAGCCTCAACCATATGTTGGTTACTGTGCTAGGTGCTGAGGATATGAAGAGAAAACATGACCCTTGCCCTCAAGGATTACAGTCCAATGAGAGAGACAGATGTGTCACCAAGTAATTAAAATTGGGCTGAGAACCTTGCTGGGGTGTGCATAAGACTAGGAAGAGTTAGAGAAGACTTCATAAGGAGGTGACCTCTGAACTGGGTCTTAAAGAATAAATAGAAGTTTACTCCCAAGGGGGTGTGTGAAGCAAAAGGAGATTTGAGAAATCTATTGTATTTAGAACATAAATGTGGGAGGCGGGTAGGAGAATGTGGTACCAAATAAAGCTGTAAAAGCAACTTGAAGCCAAATTGTAATAAGGACCTTGTTAGCTTTGCTAAAGCAGAGGAAAGAGGACGAGTATTTACTGAGATTCAATGACAGCCCTTTTGTTATTGTGGCCTCAGGGGCAGAACCCAAAGAGAACCCAGCCTGACTGGCCACCCCCTCAAGTGTTTAACCTTTATCCTGTAGGCAGTGAGAACCATTGTTGGCCGAAGGGTTGGGGGCTAATTTAAAATGACAGTTTGAGGCCTGGTGCGGTGGCTCACGACTGTAATCCCAACACTTTGGGAGGCTAAGGTGAGTGGATCACTTGAGGCCAGGAGTTTGAGACCATCCTGGCCAACATGGTGAAACCCTGTCTCTACTAAAAATACAAAAATTAGCCAAGTGTGGTGAGCACCTGTAATTCCAGCTACTTGGGAGGCTGAGGCACAAGAATCACTTGAACCTGAGAGGCAGAGGTGGCAGTGAGCCGAGATTGTACCACTGCACTCCAGCCGGGGTGACAGCAAGACCCTGTCTCAAAAAAAAAAAGTAAAATAAAATAAAAAATGAGAGTTCGTGAACTTGGTGATGGAGGGATAGCTCTTCTCATTAACAAGGATATGCGTGTCTGCTGTCTAGGACACCCCCTGACCCGGTCTCAGAAAGCCTGAAAGCAGAATTAGTCATTAGAAGGGTGGTTGGCTTGGTCGGCATAGACTTTGAGCAGAAAGAGGTTGAAAATGTTGAGCCTGATTTCTCTTAGGCCCCTCTGCAGTGTCTGTTGTGGAGGCCAGATACGTAACTGCTTCCGCTTTTTTTGGTCTCATTCAAGGTGAGCAAATCCCCTTCATGTTTCTCACCAGACAATGCAGCTGATGAGGTTCCAGCTTTGCAAATGTAGTCATCCATGAGGACTGTCTTCCTGAGATTTCATCAGGTCATGTTGATGAGAGTTTTGAACCTGTCTGAGGCTGAGAGGTGTGCAGAACTTCTTCAGCTTTGCATCTGTAGACCATTTTGGTTTCTACCCAGCAGTGGCCAATCAGACCTATTATGAGGGGATTACTGGTTTGACTGTCAGAGGGTAACCTCTCTTTTTCCAAGTTTTTTGAGGGTACCTCCCTCCAGTGGAGAGTCCTAAGCAGTAGGTCAATTTAACAGACATTTGTTAGGAGCCCACCATGTTTCAGGCAGGCACATGGGATTCAGGATGGTTGAGGCATTCTGCCTGCCTGAGAGGTGCTTATAGTTATAGGGAAGACAGACCCCCATAGGTCATTTTATTGCATTGTTGTATGTGCAGTGATAGAGGGCTGTGGAAGCACAGAGGAGGGGTGCCTGTCTACTTTGGGCAGGCTGTGGAAAGGCTTCCTGGAGGAAGCAGTGCCTGAGCCGAGTCTTGAAATAGGAGTTTTGCAGTGGGAAGAGCATTCCAAGCAGAGAGGCACTAGCATATAGAAAACCCCGGAGGAACGCAGCACGTGTTGCGCTGGATGTGATAGGCGACTCCAGGGAATTGTTACTGAGGAGTGAACAGGAAGGTGTGGAGCATCAGGGAAATGAAGGTTGAGAACATCATAAAATCCTTTTGGGAAGCTGTCCTGCTGAGTTTGGATGTCAGTCTGAGGACAAGAGGGTATGAATGATTACATTTTTAGTTTATTATTAATTTTTATTTTATTTATTTTTAGCACACATTTTTATTTTAGAATGAGCACCCCAGTTGTAATGTAGAAGGATTGGAGAGAGACAGGCTGGTGACCCATAGGAACGCTCTGTTGTAGACTACAAAGGAAGGGCCTGAACTAGGGCAATGGTGGTGGGGATGGAGAAGAGAGGCAAGATTCAAGAAACACTTAGGAGGCCAGGCGTGGTGGCTTATGTGTGTAAACCCAGCTGAGATTCCCGCCACTGCACTCCAGCCTGGGTGACAGAGCAAGACTTCTTAAAAAAAAAAGGGAGGTAAAAGTGACCAGTACCTGGTGAATGACTGAATAATAATAATGTCCATTCATAAAGCGCCAATTACATCCTGGACTTAAGCAAGCTAATTAAGTCCTTAATGGTTACATAGTTCATAAGTAATATAGGCAGAATTCCAAAGCAAGGGTGCCCGACAGCTAAGTCCATGTTCTTTGGACTGTTTTGTGCTTGAAGGTAAGGAAAGGTAAGCATAGGTTTCTGAATCTGGGATAGAGACTAAAGGAAAAAGAGAAGCTTTTGTGGAAAAGAGAGTTTGCTTTTAAACATGTTTAATTTGATTTTTTGGTGTGATGTTTGCAGGGGGTTCAGTAGGTAGTCACATACGTGAACCCAAAGTCCAGAAGAAAAGTAAGGCCTGGAATTAGAGAGTTGAGAATGAGTATCCAAGCATACCTTGGAGATACTGTGAGTTTGGTTCCAGCCCACCGCAATAAAGCAAGTCACATGGAGTTTTTTGGTTGCCATTGTGCATGTTACATTAGTACTATGCTGTAGTCTACTAAGTCTAAGTGTACAATAGCATTACAATTTTTTTTTTTTTTTGAGACGGAGTCTTGCTCTGTCATTCAGGCTGAAGTGCAGTGGTGCGATCTCAGCTCACTGCAACCTCCGCCTCCTGGGTTCAAGTGATTCTCCTGCCTCAGCCTCCCGAGTAGCTGGGATTACAGGTACCCATCACCACACCCAGCTAATTTTTTTGTATTTTTAGTAGAGATGGGGTTTCACTATGTTGGCCAGGCTGGTCTCAAACTCCTGACCTCAGGTGATCCACCCGTCTCAGCCTCCCAAAGTGCAGGGATTACGGGTGTGAGCCACCGCACCCGGCCCATCTACTTCTGAGTTCTTCTGTTTCCTCCTTTCCTTCATTGAAATGTCCCCATCAAGTCCTGGCTCTTCCTTTCTTGGGATTCCAGCTATTCACTTTTGCTTCAAATCATTTCCACCAACCTGTTTTTCTAGCACCTGTTTCTCCAGTCTTTTAATAAAATCTCTGGCCTGGCGCGGTGGCTCACGCCTGTAATCCCAGTACTTTGGGAGGCCGAGGCGGGTGGACCATGAGGTCAAGAGACCATCCTGGCCAACCTGGTGAAACCCTGTCTCTACTAAAAATACAAAAATTAGCTCGATGTGGTGGCGCTCACCTGTAGTCCCAGCTACTTGGGAGGCTGAGGCAGGAGAATCACTTGAACCCGGGAGGCAGAGGTTGCAGTGAGCTGCGATTGCGCCACTGCACTCCAGCCTGGCGACAGAGCGAGACTCCATCTCAAAACAAAACAAAACCAATAATAAAATCTCCATCTGGACACGAAAGGGTTCAAGCAGTTCAGGCCTTGAGAAGGAGGGCATGACAAAGATGAGGGAAAAGAAACAGGGCTGCATCTCTGAGTGCCTCGTTTCTTATCAGGGGCTTGAGTTGGCGGGGCATGTCTTGGTGCAGAACACCTGGGCTGTCATGGCGAGGGTACAGGTACAGAGAGGCTTCTGCCAGGATCTCAGATTCATGAGCTTGATTTCTGCTTGGGAGGAACAAATAAAGCATTGTTTTGTTTTTTTGTTTTTCCTGAAGCAACTTTGATTTCTTTTTGTGGCTAAATCCTATGGATGTCAGAGACCTAGAATTCAACCCAGATGGAAGTCTGGGGTTCATGTCCCAGTAGCAGGTGATTTGTATGGAACCCAGGATCGACCATTATCTAGTGTGAGTGCTTTTCCTGCCTCAGTGACTGGAATAAGCCTCTGACTTGGGATATTCAACTTTGGCCTTTTCAGAAGTGTACACACACCAATCCCCCATTCCCCTCACTCCAGGCTAAACTTAGTTCTTCTGTAAGTAGTTCAGGGTTTTCCCAGACCTTAGTCCAGAGCTCCCCAGCCACAAAGGCTAGAAACTAGGAACGCTGTTCAGTTGTTGGCCTTTCTTTCTTTGCAGAAGCGAATGTCTGTGACGGAGGGTGGCATCAAATACCCAGAGACGACTGAGGGAGGCCGCCCCAAGCTTGGGGGGCTGATGGACCCGAGGCAGGGGGTGATTGAGCGGACTGGCCGCTGCCAAACATGTGCAGGTAAGTGCTGGGGGGCCAGGTGGGATCCCAAAGGGGAGGTGGGTTGGGTCCTCAAAACTAGGGCTGACGGTTGACACCTGGAGGCCTCTGAGATGAGTGGGAGCTGGGAGGAAAGCACTGGGTGTGTGTCCCACAGGAAACATGACAGAGTGTCCTGGCCACTTTGGCCACATTGAACTGGCCAAGCCTGTGTTTCACGTGGGCTTCCTGGTGAAGACAATGAAAGTTTTGCGCTGTGTCTGCTTCTTCTGCTCCAAACTGCTTGTGGACTCTGTGAGTGGGGAACAGGCTCTGGTCTGGGAGCGGGGGTGCTTGGTAGGGGGCAGGGGGACAGCTTCAACTGACCCTGCTCTGCCCTGTCCCCAGAACAACCCAAAGATCAAGGATATCCTGGCTAAGTCCAAGGGACAGCCCAAGAAGCGGCTCACACATGTCTACGACCTTTGCAAGGGCAAAAACATATGCGAGGGTGGGGAGGAGATGGACAACAAGTTCGGTGTGGAACAACCTGAGGGTGACGAGGATCTGACCAAAGAAAAGGTGGCTGGGGCTGGCGGAGACTTTTGGGAAGGAGGGGTCAGAGGCCTGGAGGGAGGAAACTGGAAGGGAAGGAAACAGGAGGGGCTGGCCTGGTGTGGAGGGAAATGGCCCACCCTCTGGGCTCTGATGGCCCCTGTCTCTCCTTGGAAGGGCCATGGTGGCTGTGGGCGGTACCAGCCCAGGATCCGGCGTTCTGGCCTAGAGCTGTATGCGGAATGGAAGCACGTTAATGAGGACTCTCAGGAGAAGAAGATCCTGCTGAGTCCAGAGCGAGTGCATGAGATCTTCAAACGCATCTCAGATGAGGAGTGTTTTGTGCTGGGCATGGAGCCCCGCTATGCACGGCCAGAGTGGATGATTGTCACAGTGCTGCCTGTGCCCCCGCTCTCCGTGCGGCCTGCTGTTGTGATGCAGGGCTCTGCCCGTAACCAGGTCAGTGGCTCCAGGGCTCTGCCTCTTAGCTGGAGGGCGAGGTGTCTAAAGGGAGGAAGACCTGTAGGTGGGGATGGGTGGATGGACCTGGGTTTGAAAATTCCCCTGCTACTTACTAGCTGTATGATCTTTAATGAGTCCTTTCACATGGTTAAAGGCCACAAACGTGTTTCTGAATCTATAAATGATAGTGGGCAGTCCTGCCTCCTGGGGTGGTGTGAGGATGAGAGCTGTGCTGTGTGCCTGGTACGTTCCTGCCGAGCGCTGGCAGTGGTGGCTGGACCATGATGATTCTGACTTCCTGCCTCAGGATGACCTGACTCACAAACTGGCTGACATCGTGAAGATCAACAATCAGCTGCGGCGCAATGAGCAGAACGGCGCAGCGGCCCATGTCATTGCAGAGGATGTGAAGCTCCTCCAGTTCCATGTGGCCACCATGGTGGACAATGAGCTGCCTGGCTTGCCCCGTGTGAGTCAGCATGCTCCCCACCCCTCTGTGTATTGGAGCCAGGGTGGGGGCTAGCATGAGGCTTCAGAGCTCTGGAAGAGGGCCCAGTGCTGACTTTCTGGATTGCCCCCACCCTGTGTTTTTTCCTCACAGGCCATGCAGAAGTCTGGGCGTCCCCTCAAGTCCCTGAAGCAGCGGTTGAAGGGCAAGGAAGGCCGGGTGCGAGGGAACCTGATGGGCAAAAGAGTGGACTTCTCGGCCCGTACTGTCATCACCCCCGACCCCAACCTCTCCATTGACCAGGTTGGCGTGCCCCGCTCCATTGCTGCCAACATGACCTTTGCGGAGATTGTCACCCCCTTCAACATTGACAGGTGTGCCTCCGTTGGAAAGCCCTTCCTGGAATGGCTAGGGAAGACATGGCCTCAGTGGCAAGGCTTCGAGAGTCTGCTCCTCCTACCTCGGGCGTGGGCTTGGAGCAAGGAGGAATTGAAGTTCTGAAGTTTAACTTCCACTCAGGGAGGGTGGCTGCAGGGGTATTTTAGGAAGCATTGAGTTCATTGCACCTCTTTCCTTCCTAGACTTCAAGAACTAGTGCGCAGGGGGAACAGCCAGTACCCAGGCGCCAAGTACATCATCCGAGACAATGGTGATCGCATTGACTTGCGTTTCCACCCCAAGCCCAGTGACCTTCACCTGCAGACCGGCTATAAGGCACGTAGCAGGCCAGGGCCTCTCTCAGCCACCTGAGCAGAAAGCTTTCCAAGATAGGGCAGGCTGGGTTAGGCCATCTGAGTCTGTCTCGTTCATTGGGATCCAGACTTGACTGTCTTGTTAAAGGCTGTTGCTGCCCAGGTGTGCAGGGAGCTGTTGGTCTCTGGCATTCAGGGTGGGGGTGGTATAAACCCGGGGCAGCTTGCATATGGCAGGGAAGAGGGATCCGTGGAGGAACAGTGCAGAAGGCTTTATGTTCAGAATCTCTCTTGCTTTTCTTCTAGACTGAGTTCCTTGAGATTGGTGAATGCTGTGTATTATTCATCCCTGATAACCTGGTGTTTGGCCCAGGGCCTTGTCCAGAGGAGTGTTTAATAAGTGTTTCAAGTGAATTAGCACCACGATGTCATCTCTTTTCAGTTTACAAAGGACTTTTTTTTTTTTTTTTTTTTTTTTAAAGAAGACAGTCTCGCTCTATCGCCCAGGCTGGAGTGTAGAATGCAGTGCTGTGATCTTGGCTCACTGCAACCTCTACCTCCCAGGCTCAAGCGATTCTTCTGCCTCAGCCTCCCGAGTAGCTAGGATTACAGGCGCGCGCCACCACACCTAGCTTATTTTTGTATTTTCAGTAGAGATGGGGTTTCACCATGTTGACCAGGCTGGTCTCAAACTCCTGAGCTTAAGTGACGTGCCCGCCTCAGCCTCCCAAAGTGCTTGGATTATAGGTGTGAGCCACTGCACTGGACTTGCAAAGGACTTTAGGTCCATTGTCCTTTTATTCTTAGATACCTCCTTCACTGAGACCTTTTCCTTACCTCACCTCTCTAGGTGGAACGGCACATGTGTGATGGGGACATTGTTATCTTCAACCGGCAGCCAACTCTGCACAAAATGTCCATGATGGGGCATCGGGTCCGCATTCTCCCATGGTCTACCTTTCGCTTGAATCTTAGGTCAGTCCCTGGCTGAGGGAAGCAGGCTGGAATTGGTGGGAGGCGGGCAGGCTGGGTGGCTCCTCAAGGTTTCGCTGCAGACATCTTCCCAACCCTGACTTTTCTCTTTAACTGTAGTGTGACAACTCCGTACAATGCAGACTTTGACGGGGATGAGATGAACTTGCACCTGCCACAGTCTCTGGAGACGCGAGCAGAGATCCAGGAGCTGGCCATGGTTCCTCGCATGATTGTCACCCCCCAGAGCAATCGGCCTGTCATGGGTATTGTGCAGGACACACTCACAGCAGTGCGCAAATTCACCAAGAGAGACGTCTTCCTGGAGCGGGTGTGTGGTCCAAATGGAAACCTGGCTTAAGTGGGCAGTGGGGCTCTGGGGTGCAAGGTGGAGGCTAGAGAGGAAGAGCTGTGTTTTTTTTCCTGACTTACCCAGCAGTGGTCTGTGAGATTGTCTTTTCTGGTGGGCGAACAAAAAGGGGGTTAGGAAAACTCAGGCCAAAAAGGTGTAAGGCGTTAATTCCCCATTTAATTCCTTAAAATTTCATGTAATACCAGGTATTGCCTGTAAAGGAAAGATAAAGGGAAAAATAAGTAAGACCTTGTTCAAATTTTATTTTTCTATTTTAACCTTCACTTATTTCCTAATTATTAAAAGAAATTTATGCTTATTGTTAAGAACAAAAACAAAAATTTCAGTATTACAATGAATTTTTAATTAAAAGTTTTTGGGGCCGGGCGCAGTGGCTCACGCCTGTAATCCCAGCACTTTGGGAGGCCGAGGCGGGTGGATCACGAGGTCAGGAGATCAAGACCATCTTGGCTAACACGGTGAAACCCCATCTCTACTGAAAAATACAAAAAATTAGCCGGGCGTAGTGGCATGAGCCTGTAGTCCCAGCTACTTGGGAGGCTGAGGCAGGAGAATGGCGTGAACTCGGGAGGCAGAGCTTGCAGTGAGCCGAGATCACACCACTGCACTCCAGCCTGGGCGACAGAGCGAGACTCCGTCTCAAAAAAAAAAAAAAAAAAGTTTTTGGGACTGGGCATGGTGACTCACACCTGTAATTCTAGCACTTTGGGAGGCCGAGGCAGGCACATCATTTGAGGCCAGGAGTTGGAGACAACTCTGGCCAACATAGAGAAACCCCGTCTCTACCAAAAATACAAAAATTAGCCGGACATGGTGGCAGGTGCCTGTAATCCCAGCTACTTGAGAGGCTGTGGCAGGAGAATTGCTTGACCCCAGGAGGCGGAGGTTGCAGTGAGCCCTGATTGCACCATTGCACTCCAGCCTGGGTAAACAGCAAGACCCTGTCTCAAAAAATTAAAGGTTGGAAAAAACTTTTCCTGTCATCTTTGCCTCCAAAATCTGGCTTTCTCCCTTGGGCAGGGAAACCTCCCCAACATTTCTCTATCATCCCTGAGATGTGGGGCCTGCACTCTGACTTCTGTCTGCCTTACTCTTTGTCTTACAGGGTGAAGTGATGAACCTCCTGATGTTCCTGTCGACGTGGGATGGGAAGGTCCCACAGCCGGCCATCCTAAAGCCCCGGCCCCTGTGGACAGGCAAGCAAATCTTCTCCCTCATCATACCTGGTCACATCAATTGTATCCGTACCCACAGCACCCATCCCGATGATGAAGACAGTGGCCCTTACAAGCACATCTCTCCTGGGGACACCAAGGTAGGGCTTGGCTTCTGGATATGTGAGGACAGAATTTGGACGTGGGAGCCAGGACCAGAGCAGGGGCCTTGAGTGGGTGCTTTGTCCTTAGGTGGTGGTGGAGAATGGGGAGCTGATCATGGGCATCCTGTGTAAGAAGTCTCTGGGCACGTCAGCTGGCTCCCTGGTCCACATCTCCTACCTAGAGATGGGTCATGACATCACTCGCCTCTTCTACTCCAACATTCAGACTGTCATTAACAACTGGCTCCTCATCGAGGGTGAGCATGGAGGCGTGGTACCAAGACGTCTCTGTGAATTCTCTAACTTCTTACTGTCCTTCCATCCCTTTCTTTCCTCCTTGGATTTGGTGCCCCCTGCTTCTACTCTCTTGGCTATAATTCCATTCCATGTTTCTTAGAGGTCCAAAGGGGTTTGCTGATGTTTTTCCCTGTCTCTAGGTCATACTATTGGCATTGGGGACTCCATTGCTGATTCTAAGACTTACCAGGACATTCAGAACACTATTAAGAAGGCCAAGCAGGACGTAATAGAGGTAAGAGGGGAGGCCACCAGAGACGGAATAAGGGGTTTCCAGGGACTTCGAAGTTAGCATCATCAAGAGCAAAGGGAGTGTAAGGTTAGAGGGAAGGGGCAGAGAGTAGGGATTGATGTCTCACCGAGAACTCTGCCTCCAGGTCATCGAGAAGGCACACAACAATGAGCTGGAGCCCACCCCAGGGAACACTCTGCGGCAGACGTTTGAGAATCAGGTGAACCGCATTCTTAACGATGCCCGAGACAAGACTGGCTCCTCTGCTCAGAAATCCCTGTCTGAATACAATAACTTCAAGTCTATGGTCGTGTCCGGAGCTAAAGGTTCCAAGATTAACATCTCCCAGGTGAGAAGCCTTGTTTTTCCATATACGGGGCCGCTGTGAAGTTTGGGAGGAGGAAGGAAGGTGTTTGTATGTATTAGGGTCAGGAGAATCACGGGAGTTGGGGGAAATTTTGGGAACTGTTATTCTTAAGGCAGAGGGAATTCAGTATACACCACCTTTCTGTTTCCCAGGTCATTGCTGTCGTTGGACAGCAGAACGTCGAGGGCAAGCGGATTCCATTTGGCTTCAAGCACCGGACTCTGCCTCACTTCATCAAGGATGACTACGGGCCTGAGAGCCGTGGCTTTGTGGAGAACTCCTACCTAGCCGGCCTCACACCCACTGAGTTCTTTTTCCACGCCATGGGGGGTCGTGAGGGGCTCATTGACACGGCTGTCAAGACTGCTGAGACTGGTGAGGCTTTCCTCAGGGGTCTTCCTTGGGCTGTTAGCAGGGACTGCTGCAGGCTGAGAAACCCCTAACAGGTGGGGAGCGGAAATGCTCAGGCTCCTATTCCCAGGGTATAATTCTGGCCCTTGTGGAAAGAATAGAGTCTCAAGAGTAGGCAAACACCCTTGTTTGGATTGCTGTGCAGCATTGCACAGTGCAGGGACAGAGCTTCCGGGGCTCTGCCGGCCTGTCCCATGGGAGTGGTTCCTGCTGGGCTTTTTGTCCGTCTAGTGGTAGACACTGAGTTTGCATTCAAAGGCCTCAGACACAGAGAGTACTAGCTGACTCTTCTGACAGTCAGGTAGGTTAAGGCCCCAGCCTGGGTCTTTGGGCTTTATCATCCCCTTACTTCCCTCCAGGATACATCCAGCGGCGGCTGATCAAGTCCATGGAGTCAGTGATGGTGAAGTACGACGCGACTGTGCGGAACTCCATCAACCAGGTGGTGCAGCTGCGCTACGGCGAAGACGGCCTGGCAGGCGAGAGCGTTGAGTTCCAGAACCTGGCTACGCTTAAGCCTTCCAACAAGGCTTTTGAGAAGAAGTGAGGAGGCGGGCAGGCGGGTGGTTCTCGCCCCTGGGGCTCAGGGCCTGAGTAGTAGGATTCCCATACCTATTCCAGAGAGATAGCCTGGTATGTGTCTTGCACTAGAGCTTACCTTTCAGCATCCTTCCCCACCTATCTGAAACAGCTGTGTGACATGGGGGAGGTGGTGGATGGAGGTGGATTTAAGATTGGTCCCCACATCGTCCCTGCTGATATTATAAAGCAGATGCAGAGGGGTGGGCCTGTACTCAGGTCCCAGTGGCAGTCCTTGGGCCTGAATTTTTCTCTGTCCAGGATTCTTGCCTCCAAACCACTGTACTTGGTCGGCTGTGCACCTTTGGGAACCTTACAGTGCGTTTTGTGGGGACCAAGGTCCCAGAGCCCACCTGTCCACTAGCTACCCCTTGCACTTCCAGGTTCCGCTTTGATTATACCAATGAGAGGGCCCTGCGGCGCACTCTGCAGGAGGACCTGGTGAAGGACGTGCTGAGCAACGCACACATCCAGAACGAGTTGGAGCGGGAATTTGAGCGGATGCGGGAGGATCGGGAGGTGCTCAGGGTCATCTTCCCAACTGGAGACAGCAAGGTGCGTGTGGGTCGAAGTGCTGATGCTAGAGATGTGCCTCCCTGGATGGCTGTCCCCAGACACAGCCCTCCCTCCATTTCCCCCTCTCTCAGGTCGTCCTCCCCTGTAACCTGCTGCGGATGATCTGGAATGCTCAGAAAATCTTCCACATCAACCCACGCCTTCCCTCCGACCTGCACCCCATCAAAGTGGTGGAGGGTAAGTACCTGCTTAGGGGTCTCCAAGCCAGGCTAGGGGATAGGAGACTGCTGGGCCCTGGTCTAATGATCTCCTCACCTTTAATTGGTCCCCAGGAGTCAAGGAATTGAGCAAGAAGCTGGTGATTGTGAATGGGGATGACCCACTAAGTCGACAGGCCCAGGAAAATGCCACGCTGCTCTTCAACATCCACCTGCGGTCCACGTTGTGTTCCCGCCGCATGGCAGAGGAGTTTCGGCTCAGTGGGGAGGCCTTCGACTGGCTGCTTGGGGAGATTGAGTCCAAGTTCAACCAAGCCATTGTGAGTGTTGTGCTCTTCACAGCAGTCTTCTTTTCCTCCTTTTACCTGTTGACTTCTGTGGTTTCCAAGAGCAGCCCACTTCTGTCCACAACCTACAGAATAGGTTCTGTAGGTTCTGTCCCACCTAATAATAGCTCTCATTCATGGAGAGACTGCTTGTACCTTACCAAGTCCTGTGTTTGGCCCATTATCGCTTTATACCATCATGGCTTTAATACACTCCTAGTAGGGGAGGGTTTGTTAGTCCCATGTTGCAGAGACAAAAACTGAGGCTTGGAGAGAGTGACTGGATTGTGTGATGGTCATATAGGAAGTAAGTGGCATGACTGGGATATGACATAGGAGAATTGTTCTTTTTTTTTTTCTCTACACTCTCTGCTGTGTGCAGGGTCTAATTTAGATAAAGATAGGGAATTGGGGCTAGGTGGGGTGGCTCACACCTATAATCCCAGCACTTTGGGAGGCCGAGGCAGGCAGATCACAAGGTCAGGAGTTCGAGACCAGCCTGACCAACATGGTGAAACAAGGGTGAAATACAAAAATTAGCCGGGCGTGGTGGCGTGTGCCTATAATCCCAGCTACTCAGGACGCTGAGGCAGGAGAATCGCTTGAACACAGGAGGCAGAGGTTGCAGTGAGCCAAGAGTGCGCCTTTGCACTCCAGCCTGGGCAACAGAGCAAGACTCCGTCTCAAAAAGGGAGTTGGAGAGAGTAAATAGAAAAAAAGATTTATGGCTATTGGAATGTGCTTTCACTGGCTTTAAGGATTTTATAGGATAGTAAGAGGGTAAAGCACTGTTACAGGCGTACCTCTGAACCTGTTTACTGTAAGTCAGTTTTTATAAATTAAATAATTAAAAATGTATTAGGGAACACCATAGAACATGGCTGAAAGAAATTGTAAAAGACCTAAATGAGGCCGGGTGCAGTGGCTTATGCCTGTAATCCCAGCACTTTGGGAGGCCGAGGTGGGCAGATCACCTGAGGTCAGGAGTTCAAGACCAGCCTTACCAACAGGAAGAAACCCCACCTTTACTAAAAATACAAAATTAGCAGGGTATAGTGGCACATGCCTGTAATCCCAGCTACTCTGGAGGCTGAGACAGGAGAATCACCTGAACCCGGGGATGGAGGTTGCGGTGACCCGAGATTGCACCATTGCACTCCAGCCTGGGCAACAAGAGTGAGACTGTATCAAAAAAAAAAAAAAAAAACCCTAAATGAAAGACCTCTCATATTCATGGATTGGAAGACTTAATATTGTTGAATATTAATATTGTTAATATACTTCCCAAAATAAGCTATAGATCCAATATAATCCCTATCAAAATTCCAACTGGCTTTTTCTCAGAAATTTATTAAGCTGATGTTAAAATTCATATGGAAATGCAAGGGATATAGAATAGCCAAAACAATATTTAAAAGTAGCAAAAGTTTGGAGAACTCACATTCCTGATTTCACAACTTACTACAGAGCTACAGTAAACAAGACTGTGCTTCTGTCATGAGGATACGTATAAAGACTGATAGAGTAGAATTGAGAGTCCAGAAATAAACCCTCACATTTATGGTCACTTGATTTTTTGCAAGAGTCCCAATTTAATTAAATGGGGTGAGAATACTCTTTTTAGCAAATGGTGCTAGGGCAACTAGATATCCACATGCAAGAGAATGAAGTTGGATTCCTACCTCATACCATGTACAAAAACTCTCAAAATGCCTAAATTGAAGAGCTAACACTATAAAACTCTTATAAGGAAACTTGAATAAATCTTCATGACTGTGGCTTAGCAGTGAATTCTTAGGTATGACACCAAAAGCATAAGCATCCAAAGGAAAAAATAGATGAATTGGACTTCATCAAAATTTAAAACTTAATGCTTCGTAGGACACTATCAAGAAAGTAAAAAGATAACACAGAGAATGGGAGAAAATATTTGGAAATCATCTGATAAGGGCCATACATAAAGAATATATAAAGGACTATAACAATAAAAAGTCAACAATAAAAAGTCTCAAAGGATTTCAACAAATGTTTCCTGGCTGGGCGTGGTGGCTCACGCCTGTAATCCTAACACTTTGGGAGGCTGAGGCGGGTGGATCACCTGAGGTTGGGAGTTTGAGACCAGCCTGATCAACATGGAGAAACCCCGTCTGTACTAAAAATACAAAATTAGCCGGGCATGTCGGCACATGCCTGTAATCCCAGTTACTCGGGAGGCTGAGGCAGGAGAATCGCTTGAACCTGGGAGGTGGAGGTTGCGATCAGCCGAGATAGTGCCATTGCACTCCAGCGTGGGCAACAAGAGTGAGACTCTGTCTCAAAAATAGTAATAAAATAAAAAAACAGGCTGGGCGCAGTGGCTCACGCCTGTAATCCCAGCACTTTGGGAGGCCGAGGCGGGCAGATCACGAGGTCAGGAGATTGAGACCATCCTGGCTAAGACGGTGAAACCCCGTCTCTACTAAAAAATACATAAATAAATAAATAAATAATAAAAAAAACATGTTTCCCCAAAGAAGAGTACTATTCATGTAAATGATCAGTAAGTGCATGAAAAGATACTCAACATCATTAGCCATCAGGGAAATGCAAATGAAACCAGAGTGATGTGCCACTTCACATGCACTAGGATGACTGTAATCCAAAACACAGATAATAACAAGTGTTGACAAGGATGTGGAAAAATTAGAACCCTCATACATTGCTAGTAGAAAAGGTACAACTGCTTTAGGAAGTTAAAGCAGTTACCATATGGCCCAGCAGTTTCGTTCCTAGAGAGATTATACACACACACACGAGAGAACAGAAAACATATGGCCACACAAACATTTATACACAAATGTTCGTATCAGTGTTACAGTAGCTAAGCAGTGAAAACAAGTGTCCATCCACTGATGAATGGATAGGCAAAATGTGATATGTCCATATGAGGGAACATCATTCAGCAATAAAAAGTAATGAACAGGCTGGGCCTACGTGGTGGCTCACGCCTGTAATCCCAGCACTTTGGGAGGCCAAGGCAGGTAGATGACTTGAGTTCCAGACCAGCAGCCTGCCCAACATGGTGAAACCCCCAACTCTACCAAAAATAGAAAAATTAAGTGTGGTGCTACATGCTTGCTATCCCAGCTACTTCGGAGGGTAAGGCAGGAGGATCACTTGAACCCAGGCAGCAGAGGTTGCAGTGAGCTGAGACTGCACCACCGCACTCCAGCCTGGGCGACAGAGGGAGACCATCTCAAAAAAAAAAAAGTAACGGACAGCCAAGCACAGTGGCTGATGTCTGTAATCCTAGCACTTTGGGAGGCTGAGGTGGGAAGATTGCTTGAGCCCAGAAGTTCAAGACCACCCTTGGGCAACATGACAAAACCCCATCTCTACAAAAAATTTAGCCAGGTGTGGTGGAGTGCACCTGTAATCCCAGCTACTTGGGAGGCTGAGGTGGGAGGATACCTGAGGCCAGGAGGTTGAAGCTGCAATAGTGAGCTGAGATCATGCTACTGTACTTCAGCCTGGGCAACAGAGTGAGACTCTATCTCAAAAAAAAAAAATCTGTCAAGCCACAAAAAGACAGTGATAAGCCAGATGCACTGGCTCATAACTCTAATCTCAACACTTTGGGAGGCCGAGGCAGGAGGCTCACGAGAGCCCAGGAGTTTGAGACCAGCCTGGGCAGCATAACGAAATTCTGTCTTTGCCAGTGATGAACCTTAAATGTATACTTGCTTAATGGAAGAAATTAGTCTGAAAAAGTTAGATACTGTGATTCCAGTTAAGTTTAATTTCGTATGTGACTATCTCATAACACATACGGGGAGCTTCCTATTTAGCTAACTGTTATAAAATGAATATTTACGGAGTAATTTTAACATAGGTTTAGAAATTTGGATCTTGGCCGGGCGAAGAGGCCCACACCTGTAATCCCAGCACTTTGGGAGGCCAAGGCGGGTGGATCACCTGAGGTCGGGAGTTTGAGACCAGCCTAACCAACATGGTGAAACCCCGTCTCTACTAAAGATACAAAAAAATATTAGCTGGGTGTGGTGGCACGCGTCTGTAATTCCAGCTACTTGGGAGGCTGAGGCAGGAGAATCGCTTGAACCTGGGAGGCAGAAGTTGCAGTGAGCCGAGATCGTGCCATTGCACTCCAGCCTAGGCGACGGTGAGACTCCGTCTCGAAAAAATTTGGATCTCAGATGGTATAGTAGCTTTCTTTGGATGTGCTGCATACCAGGTGCCAAATGGCGTCCTATAAATGGAAGCTCTTGTGTGAGGAAGGGGATGATCAAATAAGAGTTTTGTTTTTGTTAAGAGTCTGTCTGCCTTTTCCGAACTCATCTACCCATGTCCTTTAAGATTACAGTCCTGGCCCTGTGATAAGCCAGATGCAGATCCACATCGTACTCATTCACTGAAAGAGAGGCGTTGGCTTTGTCTGATGCTAGCTTTTTCTTAGGCGCATCCCGGGGAAATGGTGGGGGCTCTGGCTGCGCAGTCCCTTGGAGAACCTGCCACCCAGATGACCTTGAATACCTTCCACTATGCTGGTGTGTCTGCCAAGAATGTGACGCTGGGTGTGCCCCGACTTAAGGAGCTCATCAACATTTCCAAGAAGCCAAAGACTCCTTCGCTTACTGTCTTCCTGTTGGGCCAGTCCGCTCGAGATGCTGAGAGAGCCAAGGTAGGGATCAGGACTGCTGGGCTTTTTGGCCGGAAGAAAAGAAGGAGAACTCAACTGGGTATGGTGGCTCATGTCTGTAATCCCAGCACTTTGGGAGGCCAAGGCAGGTGGATCACCTGAGGTCAGGAGTTCAAGACTAACCTGGCCAAGGTGGTGAAACCCCATCTCTACTAAAAATAGAAAAATTAGCCGGGCATGGTCGTGTGTGCCTGTAATCCCAGCTGCTAGTTGGGGCTGAGACAGGAGAATCGCTTGAACCTGGGGGGCAGAGGTTGCAGTGAGCCGAGATTGTGCCACTGCACTCCAGCCTGGGCAACAAGAGCGAGATTCCATCTGAAAGAAAAAAAGAAAAAAAAGGAGAACTTTTCCCCTTGAATAAAGGGTTTTGGATTCCCTTGATAAGGAGGGTTAGAAGAGACGTTTAGAGCTACTCAGTTCCCTGTGTCATGGACTTCTGTCTCTTCCCAGGATATTCTGTGCCGTCTGGAGCATACAACGTTGAGGAAGGTGACTGCCAACACAGCCATCTACTATGACCCCAACCCCCAGAGCACGGTGGTGGCAGAGGATCAGGAATGGGTGAATGTCTACTATGAAATGCCTGACTTTGATGTGGCCCGAATCTCCCCCTGGCTGTTGCGGGTGGAGCTGGATCGGAAGCACATGACTGACCGGAAGCTCACCATGGAGCAGATTGCTGAAAAGATCAATGCTGGTAAGCCTAGGAGGGCTGGCCTGGCTCAGGAGCCCCGCTCTCTGGGCTACCACCTATCGTGTTCACCGCACTTGAGCCCCCAAAGAGCTACCCACCCTCACCCCCATGCATGTACCAGTTCCGCCCCTCCGAGGCATCCTCCAACTCTCCAGGTCCCCTCTGCACTCCCTTTCTCTTCTGAATGTTCTCCCTTCCCCTTTCCAGGGGGTTCTATGAAAAGAAAGTTTCTGTGAGGAGCGGGGAGCCAAAAGAGAGCCTTGCTCAGAGAGAGCTGCGAGTGGACAGTGGCTGGGGCCAGTCCCCTTAGCTGCAGCCTTTCTCATGGCTCCTCACCCCACCAGGTTTTGGTGACGACTTGAACTGCATCTTTAATGATGACAATGCAGAGAAGCTGGTGCTCCGTATTCGCATCATGAACAGCGATGAGAACAAGATGCAAGAGGTAATGGGGGTCCTAGAAGTCAGCGTGTCACATGTATAAAACGCATGAATCACGTTAGAGACCAAAGAAAAGAAGATGCAATCAACATTGAGGGGCGGCCAGGCGCGGTGGCTCACGCCTGTAATCCCAGCACTTTGGGAGGCTGAGGCGGGTGGATCACCTGAGCTCAGGAGTTCGAGACCAGCCTGACCAACATGGAGTAACCCCGTCTCTACTAAAAATAAAAATTAGCCGGGCATGGTGGTATGTGCCTGTAATCCTAGCTACTTGGGAGGCTGAGGCAACAAGAGTGAAACTATCTCAAAAAATAAAAAAAACATTGAGGGGCCAGTCATACCCACCTAATTTAGGGATAGGGAATGGTGATTAGCAACGATTTTCAAAATCCACAGCACCGGCCGAGTAGATAAAACAGGTGGTGTTGAAATAGGAGATAGGAGTGCCTCCCTGTCACGCTGTCACTTGGCTCTCCTCCCCCAAGGCTCCTGCAGCTTGCTTTGCTTAGGGAATACAAGCCCCACCCCTGAGGCAGGGGCCAGACTTGGGGGCAGGTTGGGCAGTAGGCATTGCTATGTCCTAGGGGAAGTCGTGTGACAGCCATAACAAGACCCATGAAAAGGCTGGATCAGTGACTTCACTCCTGGGCATGGCTCCTGAGATACTTGTTTGGCACATGTTGGTACCTGGTGCTTTAGTAATAAAAACTGAAGAACTCAGGCTGGGCATGGTGGCTCACACTTGTAATCCCAGCACTTTGGGAGGCCAAGGCGGGCAGATTACCTGAGGTCGGGAGTTCGAGACCAGCCTGACCGACATGGAGAAACCCCGTCTCTACTAAAAATACAAAATGAGCCGGGCGTGGTGGCGCATGCCTGTAATCTCAGTTACTCAGGAGGCTGAGGCAGGAGAAATGCTTGAACATGGGAGGCAGAGGTTGTGGTGAGGCAAGATCACACCATTGCACTCCAGCCTGGGCAATAAGCGAAACTCCATCTCTAAAAAAACAAAAACAAAAAACTGAAGAACTCACTAACTGCTGAACTGCTGTCAGAGAACAGTTATAAAAGCATTGATAGGTCTTGATGGAATACAGTATATGGCCATTAGAAGTGATCACTGTCATGCCAGCAGCAGCCTAGATGAACACACAGTGAAGTGCCAGAGCAGGGAATGGTGTGTGCTCGGGTACAGCAGTTGGGAGGATATGACATGTACGTGGAGCCCGCCTCTCGCTAGGCGCAGGACTGCACAAGAGTGGAAGTTGTGACGGGGTGGTGGGATTTGGGTGCCTTTCCTTAGGCTTCTTTTAATATTGTAAAATCAGGATTAAAAGTCTCACTGGAGAATTGCAGGAACATGGGAGGTAGAGGTTGCAGTGAGCTGAGATCGTGGCATTGCACTCCAGCCCAGGCTGATAACAGCGAGACTCCACCTCAAAAAAAAAAAAAAAAAAGTCTCACTGGAACTGTGAGGGGCAGAGCCTGGTGACTGACTCGTTTGGCCCTCAAAGAGGCTGTAGTTGGAGGCGAGAGCTGGGGAAGAGACCAGAGGATGCCAAGTGCTGACCTCACTCTCACTGCAGGAGGAAGAGGTGGTGGACAAGATGGATGATGATGTCTTCCTGCGCTGCATCGAGTCCAACATGCTGACAGATATGACCCTGCAGGGCATCGAGCAGATCAGCAAGGTCAGCCATCCCCTCTGCCACCGCCTTCCTCCTCCCACTCCCACACTCCCCTCCCTGCCTACTCTGAGCACGCTGTCTTCCCACAGGTGTACATGCACTTGCCACAGACAGACAACAAGAAGAAGATCATCATCACGGAGGATGGGGAATTCAAGGCCCTGCAGGAGTGGATCCTGGAGACGGACGGCGTGAGCTTGATGCGGGTGCTGAGTGAGAAGGACGTGGACCCCGTACGCACCACGTCCAATGACATTGTGGAGATCTTCACGGTGAGCCCGTGTGTGCTGCCTAGCTGCCTTTCGTGGATCTCTGGCTCTCAGGCCCCTCATTCTGTGCTGTCCACTCAGGACTTTTTCTGCCTGATTCCATTTCTGAGTGTGGGATATCCTGGCTCCTGACACCCTCCCTGGATCTGGGTGGCGACAGAAGCAGGGAAGAGAGCAGAGTTGCTCAGTCCTGGCCCTCCCCTCCACTTCCCTCCCCTGTGCCAGGTGCTGGGCATTGAAGCCGTGCGGAAGGCCCTGGAGCGGGAGCTGTACCACGTCATCTCCTTTGATGGCTCCTATGTCAATTACCGACACTTGGCTCTCTTGTGTGATACCATGACCTGTCGTGGCCACTTGATGGCCATCACCCGACACGGAGTCAACCGCCAGGACACAGGACCACTCATGAAGTGTTCCTTTGAGGAAACGGTAACAGTGGAATTTCTGAATAGGGCAGAAGGAGGGAGTAGTGTGAGAAGAAGGGCACACACTTTGGGCAGCTGGGCTGTGGTGATGGGACAGTCAGGTGCTGTGTGTGGAGGGGTCTCATGGGGCCGGTCTGCTCTGTTCAGGTGGACGTGCTTATGGAAGCAGCCGCACACGGTGAGAGTGACCCCATGAAGGGGGTCTCTGAGAATATCATGCTGGGCCAGCTGGCTCCGGCCGGCACTGGCTGCTTTGACCTCCTGCTTGATGCAGAGAAGTGCAAGTATGGCATGGAGATCCCCACCAATATCCCCGGCCTGGGGGCTGCTGGACGTGAGTATGAGGCCCCAGCTGCGGTACCTGCTTGCGTCGGCGAGGCGGGGGGGCAGGCCATGGGTGCAAGGGTGTCACCAGTCCATGATTGCTGTTCTTGCTCCTCACGATTTCCTGTGTTCCTCTTTGCAGCCACCGGCATGTTCTTTGGTTCAGCACCCAGTCCCATGGGTGGAATCTCTCCTGCCATGACACCTTGGAACCAGGGTGCAACCCCTGCCTATGGCGCCTGGTCCCCCAGTGTTGGTGAGTAACCTGATCCAGGAAGAGGGCCCTCCAGGTGGTTCAGAGGTGGATAAGCTGGGATCGTGAACGGTAGCCATTGTTGGAACTCTGAAGGCCGCAGAGGGCTAGTGAAAGGTGGGGCAGGGAGAATTGGGGGCCTTTGGTCTCCCGCTCTGGCCTTAACTTGCTTCTCTCACTCTATAGGGAGTGGAATGACCCCAGGGGCAGCCGGCTTCTCTCCCAGTGCTGCGTCAGATGCCAGCGGCTTCAGCCCAGGTTACTCCCCTGCCTGGTCTCCCACACCGGGCTCCCCGGGGTCCCCAGGTCCCTCAAGCCCCTACATCCCTTCACCAGGTGAGTTGTCGCCATCTGTCAGGCCAGGTTTGTTTCCTCCACAGTTCTGGGTGAGTCTGTCCATTGCTCATCTCCTTTGTTGGCTGCTTCCCCACAGGTGGTGCCATGTCTCCCAGCTACTCGCCAACGTCACCTGCCTACGAGCCCCGCTCTCCTGGGGGCTACACACCCCAGAGTCCCTCTTATTCCCCCACTTCACCCTCCTACTCCCCTACCTCTCCATCCTATTCTCCAACCAGTCCCAACTATAGTCCCACATCACCCAGCTATTCGCCAACGTCACCCAGCTACTCACCGACCTCTCCCAGCTACTCACCCACCTCTCCCAGCTACTCGCCCACCTCTCCCAGCTACTCGCCCACCTCTCCCAGCTACTCACCCACTTCCCCTAGCTACTCGCCCACTTCCCCTAGCTACTCGCCAACGTCTCCCAGCTACTCGCCGACATCTCCCAGCTACTCGCCAACTTCACCCAGCTATTCTCCCACTTCTCCCAGCTACTCACCTACCTCTCCAAGCTATTCACCCACCTCCCCCAGCTACTCACCCACTTCCCCAAGTTACTCACCCACCAGCCCGAACTATTCTCCAACCAGTCCCAATTACACCCCAACATCACCCAGCTACAGCCCGACATCACCCAGCTATTCACCTACTAGTCCCAACTACACACCTACCAGCCCTAACTACAGCCCAACCTCTCCAAGCTACTCTCCAACATCACCCAGCTATTCCCCGACCTCACCAAGTTACTCCCCTTCCAGCCCACGATACACACCACAGTCTCCAACCTATACCCCAAGCTCACCCAGCTACAGCCCCAGCTCGCCCAGCTACAGCCCAACCTCACCCACAAGTACACCCCAACCAGTCCTTCTTACAGTCCCAGCTCCCCAGAGTATACCCCAACCTCTCCCAAGTACTCACCTACCAGTCCCAAATATTCACCCACCTCTCCCAAGTACTCGCCTACCAGTCCCACCTATTCACCCACCACCCCAAAATACTCCCCAACATCTCCTACTTATTCCCCAACCTCTCCAGTCTACACCCCAACCTCTCCCAAGTACTCACCTACTAGCCCCACTTACTCGCCCACTTCCCCCAAGTACTCGCCCACCAGCCCCACCTACTCGCCCACCTCCCCCAAAGGCTCAACCTACTCTCCCACTTCCCCTGGTTACTCGCCCACCAGCCCCACCTACAGTCTCACAAGCCCGGCTATCAGCCCGGATGACAGTGACGAGGAGAACTGAGGGCACGTGGGGTGCGGCAGCGGGCTAGGGCCCAGGGCAGCTTGCCCGTGCTGCTGTGCAGTTCTTGCCTCCCTCACGGGGCGTCACCCCCAGCCCAGCTCCGTTGTACATAAATGCCTTGTGGCAGAGCTCCCGGTGAACTTCTGGATCCCGTTTCTGATGCAGACTCTTGTCTTGTTCTCCACTTGTGCTGTTAGAACTCACTGGCCCAGTGGTGTTCTCACTCCTACCCCACCCACCCCCTGCCTGTCCCCAAATTGAAGATCCTTCCTTGCCTGTGGCTTGATGCGGGGCGGGTAAAGGGTATTTTAACTTAGGGGTAGTTCCTGCTGTGAGTGGTTACAGCTGATCCTCGGGAAGAACAAAGCTAAAGCTGCCTTTTGTCTGTTATTTTATTTTTTTGAAGTTTAAATAAAGTTTACTAATTTTGACCAAAAGTATGTACATCGAGTGCTTCATTGGGGTTCAGGAGACCCCCAGGCCCCTGCCTCCTGCCTGGGCTGCTGCTTGATCTGTTAGGGGGAGGGGACCAGGAAAATGGGAGGGTACCTTACAGTCAGCCCACACACAGCCCCTGCTCTGTGCCAGGCACTGCTCTGTACTGAGTTTGTTATAGTCACAACAGATGCAGCTCTTGTCCTCTATTAAGGTGATATTGACCATAACAGCTTTTTAACTTGTTTTACTGATTGTCATAAATAATTTGGAAAAGTGTAGAAAAGTATAATGCAGAGGGAGAAAAATGATCACCCATAATCCCACCACTAGGAGGCATACTTTCTTTGGTATTTTTTCCTATACTTTTCTTGAGTCACTAACAAGTGAACAAAAATGTACTTTGATTTTGGCCTCAAACCAAGAATGAAAAGATTATATAGATGTTGTAATACAGAAGCTGAAGTAAAAGGACTTGGGGGTAATACGCTAGTTTTAGCCGGCTATTTTTCCCCCTTTCATTAGCACCTTAATGTGGTATCAATGTTCTACATCCTCTGCAAGTCATTTCTGATTTACTTGAGGTATTTTTATTTTTATTTTATTTTTTTGAGACAGTCTCGCTCTGTTGCCCAGGCTGGAGTGCAGTGGCGCAGTCTCGGCTCACTACAACCTCTGCCTCTTGGGTTCAAGCAATTCTCACTGCCTCAGCCTTCCAAGTAGCTGCGATTGCAGATGTCCGTCACCATGCCCAGCTACTTTGGTATTTTTAATAGAGAAGGGATTTCACAGTGTTGGCCAGGCTGGTCTCAAACTCCTGATTTCAGGTGATCTGTCCACTTTGGCCTCCCAAAGTGCTGGGATTACAGGCATGAGCCACTGCACCTGGCCTGTTATCTAGAAATGTCTATTTTGCCTTCATTCCTAAAGAATATCTTTGCTAGAGATAGGATTCTGGTGTGACAGATTCATTTTTTGTTTTTAGCACTTTTTTTTTTTTTTTTAGGAGCAGAGGTTTAATATGCAAAAGATAGAGAAAAGAGAACAGCTCGCTCTCTTGTGGGGGAGAGGGGCTTCTGAAAGGGAAGTCCCTAAGATGTCCTATCTTCCGGCCCTCACAGTTTCTAGTGAGAAGTTCACAGTCTTTGGGATCATATTTCTTGTGTTATTTTTCTCTAAATGCTTTCAAGATTTTCTTTTTATCTCTGGTTCTTTGGTTTTTGACAGTTTAGCTTTGGTGTGTATATTGGAGTTCTCCAGAGAAGCAGAACCATTGGGAGAGATATATATCTTCCTGTGCTAATAATCACATTACTTTTATATGTGATTATATATATACATATATATTTTTTTCTATTTACTTGAGCTTCCCCACAGCAAAAATGAGGGGTTTTGTCATGGGAATTCGCTCAAACGATTACAGGGACCAAGAAGTTTCACAATCTGCCATCTGTAATCTGGAGAACCAGGAAGCTGGTGGTGTAATTCAGTCTTGAGTCCAAAGGCCTGAGAACTGGAGGTGGGGTGGTGGTGGCAGTGGTGGCAGTGGTGGCGCTGGTGTAAGTCCTGGAGTCTAAAGACCCAAGAATTGGGAGCTTCTAGGTCCAAAGGCAGGAGAAGTTGGATGTCTGAGCTCAAGGAGAGGACTCACCCTTCCTCTACCTTTTTGTTCTTTCCAAGCCCTCACTTGATTGGACAATGCCCACCTATGGCGGTGCAAGAGAACCTTACTCAGTCTACCGATTAAAATGCCGACCTCTTCAAGAAACACTCTCACTGACACACCCAGAAAGAATGTTTTTCCAGCTCTCTGGGCGTTCCTTAACTCAGTCAAGTTGACGCGTACCATTAACCACCACTGTGTGCCCAGGCATAGTTTTCTCATTTATCCCGTTTGAGTTTCCCTGAGATTTTTGATTCTGTAAAATTGCCTTTTAGCGTATTTGGGAAGTTTTTAGACTTTTTTTTTTTTTTTTAAGATGGCGTCTCGGTCTATCGCCCAGGCTGGAGTGCAGTGGCGCTATCTTGGCTCACTGCAACCTCTGACTCCTGGGTTCAAGCGATTCTCCTGCCTCAGCCTCCCAAGTACCTGGGACTACAGGCGCCTGCCACCACACCCGGCTAATTTTTTGTAATTTTAGTAGAGACGGGGTTTCACCATGTTAGCCAGGATGGTCTCGATCTCCTGACTTTGTGATCCACCTGCCTCAGCCTCCCAAAGTGCTGGGATTACAGGCGTGAGCCACCGCGCCTGGCCTAGACATTCTTTCAAATACTTTTTTTCTGTCCTATTCTTTCCTTCTGAGAATTCAGTAGCATGCCTACTAGACTTTTTGATTTCCCCCCCCACAGGTTTTTGAGGCTCTTAATCATTTTTGCAAATTTTTCTCTCATTCTTTTTTCGAGATGGAGTTTCACTCTTGCCCAGGCTGGAGTGCAATGGTGCCATCTCGGCTCACTGCAACCTCCGCCTCCTGGGTTCAAATAAGTCTCCTGCCTCAGCCTCCCGAGTAGCTGGGACTGCAGGCATGCACCACCACACCCAGCTAATTTTGTATTTTTTTTTTTTTTTTTTTAGTAGAGATGGGGTTTCACCATGTTGGTCAGACTGGCCTTGAACTCCTGACCTCAGGTGATCCAGCCATCTCGGCCTCCCAAAGTGCTGGGGATTACAGGTGTGAACCACTACGCCTGGTCTGGGGGGCACATTTTATTTTATTTTATGTTATTTTTTATTTCATATGGTATGTTTTATGTTATGTTTGTTATGTTATTTTGAGACGGAGTCTTGCTCTGTCGCCCAGGCTGGAGTGCAGTGGTGTGATCTCGGCTCACTGCAAGCTCTGCCTCCTGGGTTCTCGCCATTCTCCTGCCTCAGCCTCCCGAGTAGCTGGGACTACAGGCGCCCGCCACCACGCCCGGCTAATTTTTTGTATTTTTAGTAGAGACAAGGTTTCACCATGTTAGCCAGGATGGTGTCGATCTCCTGACCTCATGATCCGCCCGCCTCGGCCTCCCAAAGTGCTGGGATTACAGGCGTGAGCCACCGTGCCTAGCTTGGGGGGCACATTTTAATCAGCAAAATAACAAAAACCTTCAAGCTATGAAAAACATGTCATTAAGTAGATTGAAAATAGAAAACTAGAAGGCAGAGCACTGCCTTGTTTAACCTCAGTGGTGAACGTGTGCGTTGGGTGACTCAAATTTTTCACCAGTTTGCTCATGTCTGCAAATGGCCACAATTATTGATTTTAAAGTTATAAATAAATTTTAGGAAGTAGGTGAATTTGCAAATATTAAATCCACAAACAATAAGAATCAACTGTATGTATGTGTCTTCTCTTTTTCTCTCCCTCTCTCCATTTTTTCATTCATCCTGAGAATATATATAATTTTTTTGAGATAGGTTTTCACTCTGTTGCCCAGACTGGAGTGCAGTGGCGCAGTCTCAGCTCACTGCAGCCTCAACCTCCCAGGCTCAAGCGATCCTCCCACTCAGGCTCCTGAGTAGGTAGAACTACAGGTGTGAGTTACCACGCCTGGCTAATTTTATTTTTTGTAGAGACAAAGTCTCACTATGTTGCCTAGGCTAGTCTTGAACTCCTGGACTCAAGCGATCCTCCCTCCTTGGCCTCCCGAAGTGCTGGAATTACAGGCATGTGCCACCGCACCCAGCTAGGTTCATTTTTGTTTTTATTTATTTATTTATTTTTGAGATGGAGTTTCGCTCCTGTCGCCAAGGCTGGAGTGCAAGGACACAATTTTGGCTCACCTCAACCTTTGCTTCCTGGGTTCAAGCGATTCTCCTGCCTCAGCCTCCCAAGTAGCTGGAACTACAGGTGCGTGCCACCACACCCAGCTAATTTTTTAGTAGAGACTGGGTTTCAGCATGTTAGCCAGGATGGTCTCGATTTCCTGACCTCGTGATCCACCTGCCTCGGCCTCCCAAAGCACTGGGATTACAGGCATGAGCCACTGTGCCCAGCCTCAAGCCATAGGTTTTTATGCTACATGGGACTCTATCATCATTATTCCAAATCATTTTCTAATTTCCATTTTGATATGTTTGATCTGTGAGTGATTTATTTTGTACATATATATATATATATATATATATATATATATATGTATTTTTTTTTCTTTTCTGTTTTTCGAGACAGAGTCTCACTCTGTCACCCAGGTTTGGAGTGCAGTGGTGCAATCCCAGCTCAAAGCAACCTCCACCTCCCAGGTTCCCATGATTCTACTGCCTCTACTGCCTCAGCCTCCTGAGTAGCTGGAATTACAGGTGCACGCCACCACGCCTAGCTAATTTTTCTGTATTTTTAGAGACGGGGTTTTACCATGTTGGCCAGGCTGGTCTCCAACTCCTGACCTCAGGGTGATCCACTCACCTTGGCCTCCCAAAGTGCTGGGATTACAGGCATGAGACACTGGGCCCGACGAATTTTTCAATTTCATCTTACTTGTCTTACTTTGTATGCTTAATGTTTTTAGTTCATTCCAGCTTAAAATTCTAATACTTTCCTGGTGAATGGACTCTTTTATCATTGTAGCAATCCTCTTTATCTCAAGAAGTGCTTTTTAACTTAGGGTCAATTTTTTTTTGTTTGTTTTTGTTTTGGGATGAAGTCTCGCTCTGTCACCCAGGCTGGAGTGTGGTGGTGCAATCTTGGCTCACTGCAACCTCCATCCCTCAGGTTCAAGCAATTCTCCTGCCTCAGCCTCCCAAGTAGCTGGGATTACAGGCGCCTGCCACCATGCCCGGGTAATTTTTGTATATTTAGTGGAGACAGGGTTTCACCTTGTTTGCCAGGCTGGTCTCGAACTCCTGACCTCAGATGATCCACCCACCTCAGCCTCCCAAAGTGCTGGGATTACAGGCGTGAGCCACCATGCCTGGCCAACTTAGGGTCAATTTTATCTGAGATAGCTACACCAGTTTTTCTTTCAGTTGGAATTTTTCAAGTATATTATTCTTCCATCTTTCTGTATCTTTACATTTAAGCCTCTTATAAATAGTATATCATGGGCTTTTGTTTTTTATACCTTCTTACAACCAATTGTCCTTTTATTGGAGAATTTAGCCTATTTGCATTTAGTATGACTACTAATACATTTGGATTTTCTTCCTACTCTCTTATTTACTTCACAGTTATCTTTCTCACTTTTCCTCCTTTCCTCTCATGCCTTCCAGAGGGTTAATGTTTTTTCTCGTTTCATTATTTTCTCACTATATGTTTAAAATCTATGCTTTATGTCTATTTTGTGTGTGTGACTACCCCAATTATTATTTTTCTTTTTTTTGTATTTTATTTTTTAAAAATTTACCAAAATTATTTTAAGCTATATAAGTTGAAGTCTAAAGTTAGAAATATAGGCTGGATGCAGTGACTCATGCCTGTAATCCCAACACTTTGGGAGGTTGAGGCAGGAGGATCACTTGAGTCCAGGAGGTCGAGGCTGCAGGGAGCCAAAATAATGCCACTGCACTCCAGCCTGGGTGACAGGGTGAACGCTGTCTCTAATCAATCACAATCAAATCAAATAAATAAGATAAAATATAGTTAAAAAACACAGTTACTCTCTTGCTGAATCATACTAGGATCTTACAATGCTTCAATTCTGAACCCTTCTTTCATTTAAATGCAACTACTGTCTAGTATTTGTACTATGACAATTGTCATAAATAAGACATTATTATATTTTACTATTAAAGTTAGTTTAGATTTCCTTAGATATCTATCAATATCTTTTTTTCTTTTTGAGACGGAGTTTCGCTCTTGTTGCCCAGGCTGGAGTGCAGCAGCGAGATCTCGGCTCATCGCAACCTCCGCCTCCCAGGTTCAAGCGATTCTCCTGCCTCAGCCTCCCAAGTAGCTGGGATTACAGGCATGAGCCACCATGCCCAGCTAATTTTGTATTTTTTAGTAGAGATGGGGTTTCTCCACGTTGGTCAGGCTGGTCTCGAACTCCCGACCTTGGGTGATCTGCCCGCCTCAGCCTCCCAAAGTGCTGGGATTACAGGCCTGAGCCACCGTGCCTGGCTTCAATATCTTTTCTCTTAATTCCTTCTTGCATCTCAAATTTTCTTTCATCCGGGATCATGTTTCTTCTGTCTGATGCATGTCAAACAATTTCCTTTAATGAGTTATGTTGGTCTTAATCTTTTTCAGCTTTTGTTTATCCGATGATATATTTATTTCACTCTCATTCTCTTTTCATAACAGCTTTATTCAGATATAACTAATTATGATACAATTCACCTAAAGTGTAGATTTCAATGGTTTTTGAACATATTCAGACTTGTATGACCACCACAATCTGTTTTAGAACAGCTTAATCACCCCAAAAGAAACTCCATATACTGGCCGGGCTTAGTGGCTCACACCTGCAATTCTCCCAGCACTTTGGGAGGCCGAGCAGGCGGATTATGAGGTCAGGAGTTCTACCAGCCTGGCCAACATGGTGAAACCTTGTCTCTACTAAAAATACAAAAATTAGCCAGGCATGCTGGCGCATGCCTGTAATCCCAGCTACTCAGGAGGCTGAGACAGGAGAATCGCTTGAAACTGGAAGGCAGAAGTTGCAGTGAACTAAGATCGCGTCACTGCACTCCCGGCTGGGCAACAAGAGTGAAACTCCATCTCAAAACAAAAAAGAAAAAAAAGAAAAGCCAGGCGCGGTGGCTCGTGCCTGTAATCCCAGCACTTTGGGAGGCCGAGGTGGGTGGATCACGATGTCAAGAGTTCGAGACCAGCCTGGCCAACATGGTGAAACCCCATCTCTAGTAAAAATACAGAAATTAGCTGGGCGTGGCAGTGGGCATCTGTAATCCCAGCTACTTGGGAGGCTGAGGCAGAATTGCTTGAACCTGGGAGGTGGAGGTTGCAGTGAGCCAAGATTATGCCACTGCACTCCAGCCTGGGTGGGTGACAGAGGAAGACTCCATCTCAAAAAAAAAAAAAAAAGAAAAGAAACCCCATATACATTAGCAGTAACTCTTCATTTTGTTTAGCCCCCAAGCCCTGCACTAGGCAATCACGAACCTGTGTTCTGTCTCTTTATATTTGCTTATTCTGGTCACTTCATATTCATGGCATTGTAGAATATGTGGTATTTTGTGATTGGCTTCTTTCACTTATATAATTTCAACATTCATACATTTTGTAGCCTATATCAGTAATTAATCACTTTTTGTTGTCATGTATTCCATTGTATGTGAATATACCACATTTTCTTTCTTCATTCATGAGTTGATGGACTTTAGGTTGTTTCCTTTTTGTTTTTGTTTTTTTTTGAGACAGTGTTGCTCTGTCACCCATGCTTGAGTGTAGTAGTGCGATCTCAGCTCACTGCAACCTCGGCCTCCCATATTCAAGCAATTCTCCTGCTTCAACCTCCCGAGTAGCTGGGATTACAGGCGTGTGCCACCACTCCCAGCTAATTTTTTGTATTTTTAGTGGAGACAGGTTTCACCATGTTGGCCAGGCTGGTCTCAAACTCCTGACCTCAGGTGATCCACCTGCCTCGGCCTTCCCAAAGTGCTGGAATTACAGGCATGAGCCACCGCGCCTGGCCTAGTTTTTTTTTTTTTAACTAATATATATAATTGTGGATCTCTTTGTGTCTATTCTGCGTAGAGTTTGTTGAGCTCTTTGGATTTGTACATTAATGTTTTTCAGTAAGTTTGGGAAGTTTCCAGCCAATTATTTCTTTGACTTTTATTTGCTCGTTCTCTGCTCTGCTTCTGGTATTTCCCTTACATGTATGGTGGTGTGCTTAATGGTGTCTCACGTTTCTTTGATGCTCTGTTTATTTTTCTTCATTTTTTTTTTTTTTTTTTTTTGAGACAGAGTCTCACTCTGTTGCCCAGACTGGAGTGCAGTGGCACAATCTCGGCTCACTGCAACCTCTGCCTCCTGGGTTCAAGTGATTCTCCTGTCTCAACCTCCTGAGTAGCTGGGATTACAGGTGCCACCGGGCATGCCACCATGCCCAGCTAATTTTTTTTTTGTATTTTTAGTATAGATGGGGTTTCATCATATTGGTCAGGCTGGTCTCGAACTCCTGACCTCAGGTGATCTGCCCACCTTGGCTTCCCAAAGTGCTGGGATTACAGGTGTGAGCCAACGCGCCAAGCCTTTCCTTCATTATTTTTATTTCTATTCTTTGGATTGCATAATATTATGATCTATCTTCAGATTGTAATTCTTTCTTCTGTTAGGTGATACTGTTGCAGAAAAACCAGGTTCTTATCACACGACCAGGAAAATTTACGCACACGGACACATTGAACAGTGGGTAGAGCGGGGTTTATTGGGTGAAAAGGAAAAAAAAAGAAAGAAACTCTCAGCAAAGTGAGAGGGCAGTCCTGCGAGCAGGCCCCCACTTTACAGATTGAATCCCAGGCCACCACACAGGAACTGAAGAGGCCAGGCTCCACCTGGATGCAAACGGCGTGAACTAACATGGCTCCACCACATTCTTCTAGTACGTAGGCTGGTCGGAGATTCTCTGGGGACCCACCCCCTTATCTGCTTCCTGCATCTATCATTGTTAATCCCGCCTCTAAAGAAGTCCATCTAACTGCTGTTAGAACAAGGATAAGGATAAAGACCAAGACCGGTCTTAACTGCTTCCTGCTGACAGGGGGCGCTGTTTTGAGAAGATGGCTGTCGGAGCTCCCTTAGAGGCCTATCTAAGGGTCCCTGGCAAAAGGGGCCGCCATCATCTGAGGCTCCAGTTGCATGACCATTTGGACTTTGATGGCCTGAAGCCGAGAAGAGACAAACCAGGTTGTCAGAAAACTTGTATCAAGGCAAAATAAGGTGGGGGTAAGGACAGCTTAAAAATCCTGAGGCCTTGGCTGGGAGTGGTGGCTCACGCCTATAATCCCAGCATTTTGGGAGGCCGAGGCGGGTGGATCACCTGAGGTCAGGAGTTCAAGACCAGCCTGACCAACGTGGAGAAACCCTGTCTCTACTAAAAATATGAAAATTAACTGGGCATAGTGGCACGTGCCTGTAATCCCAGCAGGAGAATTGCTTGAACCCGGGGAGGCAGAGGTTGCAGTGAGCCAAGATAGTGCCACTGCACTCCAGCCTGGGTGACAGAGCAAGACTCCGTCTCAAAAAAAAGAAAAGAAACGTCCAGGTGCGGTGGCTCAAGCACTTTGGGAGGCCAAAGCAGGTGGATAACCGGAGGTCAAGAGTTCGAGACCAGCCTGGCCAACATTGTGAAACCCCATCTCTACTAAAAATACAAAAAAAAAAAAATTAGCTGGGCACAGTGGCAGGTGCCTGTAATCCCAGCGACTCGGGAGGCTGAGGCAGGAGAATCGCTTGAACCCAGGTGGAGGTTGCAGTGAGCCAAGATTGTGCCATTGCACTCCAGCCTGGATGACAAGACAGAAACTCCGTCTCAAAAAAAAAAAAAAAAAAAAAAAAAATTCCTGAGGCCTTTTACTGGTTTGCACAAGGAGTGGAAGGCCAAAAGCCTGACTTATAAAAAATCCACTTTACCCTTTTTACCCTTTCACCAGCATGTCAGGCTTCTGGGTTCCCCTCCCCTGAGCCCCATCCTAAGCCAACCAGTCTAAGGTTTGGGAATTTTTTTTTCTTTTTTTCTTTTTTTTTTTTTTGAGATAGAGTCTTGCTCTGTCGCCCAGGCTGGAGTGCAGTGGTGCGATCTCGGCTCACTGCAAGCTCCGCCTCCCGGGTTCACGCCATTCTCCCACCTCAGCCTCCCGAGTAGCTGGGACTACAGGCGCCCGCCACCACGCCCAGCTAATTTTTCATATTTTTTAGTAGAGAGGGGGTTTCACCGTGTTAGCCAGGATGTTCTCGATCTCCTGACCTCGTGATCCGCCCATCTTGGCCTCCCAAAGTGCTGGGATTACAGGCGTGAGCCACCGTGCCCAGCAGGATTGGGAAATTAACTCTTCTCAGTTTGGAGGATGCATCTGAGGGGAATGTCCCGTAGTATGGAGACACAATTACCTATCGGTGAAGAGAGGACAGAGGAGAAAAAAGGAAAAAAAGAAGGCGTTTTCCTCAGAGGAGTCCCAAGGGTTCAGGACGCATTCGAAAGGAGCACAGACAGCGGGGCCAGTGGCTCACACCTGTAATCCCAGCACTTTGGGAGGCTGAGGCGGCCGGATCACCTGAGATCAGGAGTTGGAGACCAGCCTGGCCAACATGGCGAAACCCCGTCTCTACTAAAAATACAAAAAAATTAGCTGGGCACGGTGGCTCACGCCTGTAATCCCAGCTACTCAGGAGGCTAAGGCAGGAGAATCGCTTGAACCTGGGAGGTGGAGGTTGCGGTGAGCTGAGATTGCTCCACTGCACTCCAGCCTGCCAGCCTGGAGTGCAGCGACAAGAGTGAAACTCCGTCTCAAAAAAAAAAAAAAAAAGAAAAAGAAAAAGAAAGAAAGGGGCACAGACTGAAGATGAATGGCTACTCATCTAGAAAGAGGGGAACAGGTCTGTCCCTGGTTCCTTTCCCTTCCTAGCAAATACCCAGAGTACGTGAGGGAGAGAAAGTGAGGTGTCACTCCTTCTCTCTTCTGTCCTTGTATCCCGGAGTCCCAGCAACCATGACAGGTTCCCACCCATGGGTGTCAAAGTGGTTTTCACTCATATTAACAGGGGGTTCTAGGGGGTGGGAGTATTTACTCTTACCCACATATGCCCTATCTCCCCTGCTGTCAGTAGCTTTTAAATTCCCTAGACCTCATTTATGCCACAGATACTAGCATGATCTTTATCCATGGAACGGGAAGCTTGGCTTAATCAGCAGGAATTAATTATGCTCACCTGCACTGTGCCTTTTAACTTCCATTATCACCTGCCTCTGGATCCCTCAGATCCAGTTTTCTTTCTAGGGCTTTGACCTGAAGCTTGAAATTGAGTTTGGGACAAAAATGTTTTTTGGGGGGTTGTGTGGACTCCTTATCATAAGCTGAATGCTAGGGTGAAGATGTGGGATTGAGTCTTCCTCCAACAAAGGAGAGAAAAAGATGTCTTGTGACATGGCCAGATAACTGGTGGCTATAGTTATGCTTCCTGGGATTTGGGTGCATGAGGCTTGGCTTTTGTTAGCTCCCTTGGTCTTACTTTCCCACAGAGGAAACCTCTGGGTTATGGGCACTGTATTTATTCCCATCACCTGGAAGGATTTGCAGGATAATTGCTCAGAACTAGAATATTGATCCAGATTTTTACATTACCCATCCCTCTTGTTGTTTCTGAGCTGCAGCCAGAGATCCCTGGTTGGTTTACAGGAATAAGCAGGGTTAGTTTAAAATGTAGGCAAAACTTAGAAACAACTAATGAGTCTAAACTTTAATGACAAATATATAAGTTTTGAAATATAATTTCTCTCTATATATTTTTTTAATCTTTTTTTTTTTTTTTTTTTTTTGAGATGGAGTTTCACTCTTGTTACCCAGGTTGGAGTGCAATGGCACAATCTTGCCTACCAGGTTCAAGCGATTCTCCTGTCTCAGCCTCCCATGTAGCTGGGATTACAGGCATGCGCTACCATGCCCAGCTAATTTTGTATTTTTAGTAGAGGCAGCATTTTTCCATGTTGGTCAGGCTGGTCTTGAACTCCCGACCTCAGGCAATCCACCCACCTCGGCCTCCCAAAGTGCTGGGATTACAGGTGTGAGCCCCCACGCTCAGCTTCACTCCCTCCCCTCTTTCCATCTCCCCTCTTTCTCCCCTCACCTCCCCTTCCCTCCCCTCCCCTCTCCTCTCCTCTCCTTCTTCCTTACAGAGTATTGCTCTGTTACCCAGGCTGGAGTGCAGTGGCACAATTTTGGCTCACCACAACCTCCACCTCCTCGGTTCAAGAGATTCTCGTTCCTCAGCCTCCCGAGTAGCTGGGACTACAGGCGCACACCACCACACCTGGCTAATTTTTAATATTTTCAGTAGAGACGGGGTTTCACCATGTTGGCCAGGCTGGTCTTGAACTCCTGATACCAGGTGATCCACCCACTTTGGCCTCCCAAAGTGGTGGGTTTACAGGCATGAGCCACCATGCCCAGCCTTCTAGTCCTCATTTCTGTTAAAAACAAATCAAGTTAGAACTCAGTTGTTTGCAAAATCGACTTTAATCTTATACTTGGCCTGATTATTTGCATAAAGTGCAGCAAAAATAATTATTTCTACATAGGCCTTTTAGATTGACTTTGATGGAACTCTGTTCCACAAGGAATTTCAGATAAGACCTTTTAAAGCTCAGGCCAGCCATGAGTTTGTATCCTCAAATACCTGTGAGTTGGGTAAACTCCTCTCTTCTTGAGGTCCCAAGAGCATGTGTTTTCTGGGCCTGTTGGAAAGTGACATTCTTTACTCATTGCAGGTTAGGAACCCTGTATGGAGACTGTGTAGACAAGGGCATGAAGCCAGTTTTACCAAAGGACTTTTATTGGCTCTGCAAGTTGAGATTGACTCCTTAAAGGGAAGCATACCATTCCAGTCAAAGCCTTGGTAAAACAACCAGTTTCTCCAATTGCATCCTGTTGCAAAAGAAAATGGATTCTTACTGCACTGATACAAACAACTATATTGTCATAAGTTATGAATACTCATAGATAGTTTCTAAATTCTAGAGGAACCAGGCAGAGAGAAACAAACATGCTCCAAATTTTGTTCACAGGAGTATACCCTACTCAATTTTTTTTTTTTTTGAGACGGAGTCTCGCTTTGTGGCCCAGGTGGGAGTGCAGTGGCGTGATCTCAGCTCACTGCAAGCTCCGCCTCCCGGGTTCATGCCATTCTCCTGCCTCAGCCTCCCGAGTAGCTGGGACTACAGGCGCCTGCCACCACACCCTGATAATTTTTTGTATTTTTAGTAGAGACACGGTTTCACCGTGTTAGCCAGGATGGTCTCGATCTCCTGACCTCGTGATCCACCCGCCTTGGCCTCCCAAAGTGCTGGGACTACAGGCGTGAGCCACCGCGCCTGGCCACCCTACTCAATTATTAAAGGCTGTAAATAATTCCTAATAATTTTCCTCGACTCTGAAAAATGAAACAAGGATCAGCAATGTTCCAAGCAAAAGTCCAGAAGATTACTTCAGTTTTCTATTAGTTCAGTCCATTCAGTTAACTCTTGTTTTGCTTGATATTCATGAACATTTCAGCTCTTCATGAGTCCTGTACATTTTTCCTGTGTGCCAATGTCACAATCTCCAAAGTTATCAGAAACTGATATTTGAGCATACTTGTCAGAGTCCTATAGCTTATTTTTTTTTTTAATTTTGCTTTAAGTTCTTGGATACATGTGCAGAACATGCAGGTTTGTTACATAGGTATACATGTGCCATGGTGGTTTGCTACACCTATCAACCTGTCATCTAGGTTTTTTGTTTTTTGTTGTGTGTGTGTGTGTGTGTGTGTGTGTGTGAGAGAGAGAGAGAGAGAGAGACGGAATTTCGCTCTTGTTGCCCATGCTGGAGTGCAATGGCATGTGATCTTGGCTCACCACAAGCTCCACCTCCCGGGTTCAAGTGATTCTCCTGCCTCAGCCTCCCAAGTAGCTGGGATTCCAGGCATGTGCCACCATACCCGGCTAATTTTGTACTTTTAGTAGAGACGGGGTTTCTCCATGTTGGTCAGCCTGGTCATGAACTCCTGACCTCAGGTGATCTGCTCGCCTCGGCCCCCCAAAGTGCAGGGATTACAGGCGTGAGCCACCGTACCCAGCCTATCATCTAGGTTTTAAGCCCCACATGCATTAGGTATTTGTCCTAATGCTCTCCCTCCCCTTGTCCCCCACTCCCTGACAGGCCTTAGTGTGTGATGTTCCCCTCCCTGTGTCCATGTGTTCTCATTGTTCAACTCTCACTTATGAGTAAGAACATGTGGTGTTTGGTTTTCTGTTCCTGTGTTAGTTTGCTGACAATGATGGTTTCCAGCTTCATCCATGTCCCTGGAGAGGACATGAACCCATTCTTTTTATGGCTGCAGAGTCCTGTAGCTTATGAAAAGGATCAAAACAAGACAACAATTGTCTGTGAATAACAAAATGTCCAGGGTAGTTACAGTTAGAAACACAATTGACAAAGAACTTTGGTTATCTCTGTGGTTTACAATAACTTAACAACCTTAATTATGACTGATAGCATATACTTTAGACATTAGAATTTTAGAAATCCCACACAATTTTGGAACATACATTAGTATTATTCACCAGAATATAACCTAAAGAAGATTGGACACCATTTTGGCAATCCCATGTAACTAAACTTGTCAAATAATTCTGTTTACCTCTCTTTTGGATACTGCAGGGGCCCTCTGTAGCATCCAAAAGCCAGCCATCAGGAAAGGCAATTTTGTAATGGAAGTTTAATTTCTGGAAGCCTGTTAAATATGTTAGAGGTTTAAAACACTTGATGTTATGAAATAGAATTCCAAATTACCACAAGTTATTTATTTTGCTAAAATGACTCAGAAATTTAAAAGAGCAAAAACCTTTTATAACCCTTTACAAATTTTGTTAAAGAGCAGATTAGTGCCTTATGAGTGTCTTGTTGTGCTTTTATTTCAATGCTCAACTTACAGAAAAACCATATAACACCCTTTTGAATTTAGTCAATATGTTCATACTTCACACATAGAATTTCTGGGTTTTTTTGTTTCGTTTTGTTTTGTTTTGTTTTGTTTGGAGACAGTCTCACTCTGTCGCCCAGGCTGGAGTGCGGTGGTGTGATCTCAGCTCACTGCAACCTCCACCTTCTGGGTTCAAGCAATCCTCCCACCTCAGCCTCTCGAGTAGCTGGGATTACAGGCGTGCACCACCACACCCGGATAATTTTTGTATTTTAGTAGAGATGGGGTTTTGCCATGTTGGCCAGACTGGTCTCGAACTCCTGACCTCAGGTGATCTGCCTGCCTCAGTCTCCCAAATTGCTGGGATTACAGGCATGAGCCACTGCACCCAGCCAATTTTAATTTTTATTAATTAATTATTATTATTATTATTATTTTGAGACAGAGTCTCATTATGTTGACCAGGCTGTTCTCAAACTCCTGGGCTCAAGTGATCCTCCTGCCTCAACCTCCCAAAGTGCTGGGATTGTAGGCATGAGCCACTGTGCCTAGTCTTCATTACTTCTTGAAGCATGGTTTCCTTAGTTATTTGAACATATTTATAATAAGTGCTTTGAAATCTTTTCCATTAAATCAAATGTCTGGGCTCTCTCACGGGCAGTTTTTGTTGCCTACTTTTTTGCTCCTGTGTATATGTCACGCTTTCTTTTTTCTTTGCAAATCTTAATAATTTTTTTGGCCTAAAACTGGATATGTAAAATAATATATTAGGCTGGGCATGGTGGCTCACACCTGTAATCCCAGCACTTTGGGAGGCCACGGTGGACAGATCACCTGAGGTCAGGAGTTAAAAACCAGCCTGGCCAACAAGGGGAAACCTCATCTCTACTAAAAATACAAAAATTATCCAGGCGTGGTGGCGCACCTGTAATCCCAGCTACTCGGGAAGCTGAGGCAAGAGAATCACTGAAATCCAGGAGGCTGAGGTTGCAGTGAGCTGAGATTGCATCACTGCACTCCAACTTGGGCAACAGAGTGAGACTTCATCTCAAAATAATGATAATAATATATTAGCAACTCTAATTCCTCTTTCCTCTCTGTAGGGCTTGTTTCTGTTGTTTTTTGCTTGTTTGCTTAGTGACTTGACTAGATTATTTTAGTGAAGTCTATTTCCCCCATATTGTGAAGTCTTTGGTGTCATTCTTCAGAAGATGTAGCCTTGAGTGTACCTGTAGTCACAGTAAGATAATAGTGGTTTTAGCAGGGCTCTCTTTGTCTCTTTCCCCACACCCAGCTGTTAAGCTCCACTAACTGCAAGCTGATTGCTCTATTATTTTTGACAATGTCCTGAGGCATAAATTCCTCCACAGTCTGATTCAATTAATTTCTGGCAGGGATGGTTTTTGAGGCAAGTCTTTGAGTTTTGTTCTGACCTCAAGAGTGCTCTTCTTAGGATCTTTCCCCTATTTTATATCTTTAAATATAAAAGGCACTGGCTTTTAATATTTAACTTAACCACTCAATCAGTTAAGTTCCCTCTGGTGATCTAGCTGGCTTATGGCTTAACTTGTTGCTCTTAAGAGAAACTAGAGTTGACCCTTGAAGAACCAGTGTCTCTAAGGATTAGAGACACTGACCCCTCTGCAGAGTCAAAACCGCATGTATACTTTTTTATTCCCTCTCCCCCGCCCCGCAAAAAAAAAAAAAAAAAAAAAAAGCAGAATGAAAAAAACAAAGAACTGGGTGCGGTGGCTCCTGCTTGTAATCCCAGCACTTTGGGAGGGCAAGGTGGGTGGATCACGAGGTCAGGAGTTCCAGACCAGCCTGGCCAACATAGTGAAACCCTGTCTCTACTAAAAATACAAAAATTAGCCAGGCATGGTGGCGCATGCCTGTAGTCCCACTTACTCGGGAGGCTGAAGCACGAGAATTGCTTGAACCCAGGAGGCAGAGGTTGTGGTGAGCTGAGATCACGCCACTGCACTCTAGCCTGGGCAACAGAGTGAGACCCCTTTTCAAAAAAAAAAAAAGCAAACAAAACACAAACAAACAAAGAAAAAGGCTGTGCGTGGTGGCCCGTGCCTATAATCCCAGCACTTTGGGAGGCTGAGGCAGGTGCACTGCCTGATCTCAGGAGTTTGAGTCCAGCCTGGGCAACAAGGCACGACTCCGTCTCTATGAAAATACAAAATTAGCTCAGCATGGTGGCATGCACCTGTGGTCCCAACTACTCAGGAGACTGAGGCAGGAAGATTGCTTGAGCCAAGGAGGTCAAGGCTGCAGTGAGCCATGTTTCCATTGCTGCACTCCAGCCTGGGTGACAGAGTGAGACCCTGTCTCTCTTTTTTTTTTTTTTTTTGAGATGGCGTTTCACTCTTATTGCCCAGGCTAGAGTGCAATGGCACGATCTTGGGTCACCACAACCTCGGCCTCCCGGGTTCAAGTGATTCTCCTGCCTCAGCCTCCCAAGTAGCTGGAATTAGAGGCATGCGTCACAATGCCTGGCTAATTTTGTACTTTTAATAGAGGCAGGGTTTCTCCGTGTTGGTCAGGCTGGTCTTAAACTCCTGACCTCAGGTGATCTACCCGCCTCAGCTTCCCAAAGTGCTGGGATTACAGGTGTGAGCCACCGCGCCCGGTGAGACCCTATCTCAATTTTAAAAAAGCAAAGAAAAAGAAAAAAAATTTTTGACTCCCCAAAAACTTAACTACTAATAGCTTCCTATTGACTGGAAGCCTTACGAATTACATAGTAGAAGACTAACATGTATTTTTTATGTTTTATATATATACTATATTGTTAAAATTAAGTAAGCTAGAGAAAAGAAAATGCTATTAAGAAAATCATGGGGTAGGCATGGTAGTTCATGCCTGTAATCCCAACACTTTGGGAGGTCAAGGTTGGAGGATCGCTCAAGCCCAGGAGTTAGAGACCAGCCTAGGCAACATAGCAAGACCCCATCTCTATAAATAATTTAAAAATTTGCCAGGCATGGTGTCATGCGCCTGTAGTCCCAGCTACTCTGAAGGCTGAAGCAGGAGGACCACTTGAGTCCAGGAGTTCAAGGCTGCAGTAGGATATGTTGGTGCCACCAAGCTCCAGCCTGTGTGACAGATAAAATCATAAGGGCTGGGCGTGGTGGTACTGTGGCAGGCCAGGTCTTACTAATGCAGGCCTCCATAGCAACTGTTTCAGTACTGATTGAGTAGTTAAGTTAAATATTAAAAGCCAGTGCCTTTATACAAAGGCTGGAACGTAAGAAAAGCCCACCAAGAGTTTTGCCTAGGCCTTTCCTGGGCCTTAAAGCATGACAAAATAACGAAGGAATTCTTAACAAGACCCATTTAGGATTCAATAAATTTTACTGTGGGTCTGAAGAAACTCTCCAGGCCTCCACAAACAAGTTTACTGGGGGTCTGAAGGAACTCCCCAAACCTCCATGATTTAGCAGGAAACAAGATAAGGGTAATCACCCCAGCACCTGGACCCATTTAGATTAAGTAAATTTACTGAGGCTCCAGAGGAAGGTCTTCAGGACTCAGACCTTAGTTATAGATTAAAAGAAGTTAACCAGCTCGGCACAGTGGCTCATGCCTGTAATCCCAGCACTTTGGGAGGCTGAGATGGGCGAATCATTTGAGGTCAGGAGTTCGAGACCAGCCTGACCAACATGGCAAAACCCCGTCTCTACTAAAAATACAAAACAAATTAGCTGGGCATGGTGGCACATGCCTGTAGTCCCAGCTGCTCGGGAGGCTGAGGCAGGAGAATTCCTTGAACCCAGGAGGTGGAGGTTGCAGTGAGCCAAGATCGTGCCACTGCACTCCAGCCTGGGCGACAGAGTGAAACTGTGTCTCAAAAAATATATATATAAAGAAGTTAATCACGTATGTCTTTAGAGGAATGCACACTTACACATAGACATATAGCTCAGAAGGTATATAAGCTCTGGAAAACTTTATAATTTTGAGTTTGTCTGGTGATAATTTCCAGACCATCTCCCTGTAACCGGTTGCACAAATAAAAACTCTATTCCTCCCCAGTTCATCTGCATCTCATTACTGGGCCACAAGAAATAGCAGCCCAACCCTCAGTTTGGTCTAGGAACAACAGTACATGTTTATAATCCCAGCTATTCAAGAGGCTAAGGCAGGAGGATTGTTTGAGCCCAGAAGTTTGACACCAGCTTTGGTAACATAGTGAGACCCTGTCTCTTAAACAAACATAAACATAGATATGTGTGTGTGCGTGTGTGTGTGCAGGTGTGTGTGTGTGTGTGTGCGTATAATTAAAAAGATAAAAATATAAAAGAGACAGGAATAATACAAGGTGGTCACAGGAGAATAAAAATTTCAGGCAGGCTGGGCATGGTGGCTGACACCTGTAATCCCAGCACTTTGGGAGTCCAAGGCAGACGGATCACAGGGTCAGGGGTTCAAGACCAGCCTGGCCAAGATGGTGAAACCCTGTCTCTACTAAAAAAAAAAATACAAAAATACAAAAATTAGCCGGGTGTGGTGGTGGAAGCCTGTAATCCCAGCTACTCGGGAGGCTGAGGCAGGGAATTGCTTGAACCTGGGAGGCAGAGGTTGCAGTGAGCCAAGATTGCGCCACTGCACTCCAGCCTGAGTGACAGAGGGAGACTCCGTCTCAAAAAAAAAAAAAAAAAAATTCCAGGCAGCATTTTCACATGACTAGGGGCTGTGGGCTGATAAGACCCTAAAAAACAGGGTGTGGGCCAAACTGGCTAAGACAGACTGGGCCCAACATGGTGCTGGGTTCAACCTAGGTTTCACCTAGGACCTCATTACATGCTCATTAACATGCTAAACACACACCCACCAGCGCTGGGACAGTTCTGAGAACACCCGTATTTCGTATACAAATGTGTAGCGCCACATTTCTGAGAAATCTCCACCTTTTTTTGAAATTTTCATGAATATTGCACCCCTTGGTTAAAGAAATCCGTAAAGGTAGCAGTCCCCAACTTGGTTACTCAAGACTCCGTGTGAATACGCCTGTATTCCCCTTGCTTGAGCAGGTACATCTCCTTAGTTTCACTATTTTCTGACTCATCCTAGAATTCAACGATGTCAAGAGCCTGGACACTGGCTGGGGTCAAGGTCCCACCGCCATCTGGCGATCTCCTCCAGCCCACTGGTATCATAAGAAAGTGAAAATATATTTACTATTCACCAAGCGCAAGTGGATCATCACAAAGATCTTCATCCATATCTTCACATTGAGTAGGCTGAGGAGGAAGAGGAGGAAGAAGAGGGGTTGATCTTGCTGTCTTAGGGTGGCAGAGGCAGAAGAAAATCCACATATAGCTGGGCACAGTGGCTTACGCCTGTAATCTCAGCACTTTGGGAAGCCAAGGTGGGCAGATCACAAGGTCAGAAGATCAAGACCACCATGGCCCACACGGTGAAGCCCCGTCTCTACTAAAAATACAAAAAAAATTAGTCGGGCATGGTGGTGTGCACCTGTAATCCCAGCTACTTGGGAAGCTAAGGCAGGAGAATCGCTTGAACTCGGGAGGTGGAGGTTACAATGAGCCAAGATTGCGCCACTGCACTCTAGCCTGGGTGACAGAGCGAGACTCCAGCTCAAAAAAAAAAAAAAAAAATCCACATATAAGTGGACTTGTGCAGTTTAAATCCATGTTGTTCAAGGGCCAATTCTACCAGCCTTCTCTTATTTGTTTATCACCAAAATCTCCATTATTTTAGCGTGCGTCCATAGACTTGATCTTCCCTCCACTCTATTTCAAATAAAGTCAGTTTGTTTGTAGACACTGTCAGATCTTCACGTTCTTATGCACTGCCTCTCCCCCTAGGCAAAATTTCTGAGCCACTACTCTGGATGTTGGGCAGGGGTGGTAGCCATGATCTTCTCAGCTTGCCTTTCCTTGGCATAGAGCCTCTGCCCAATGAGTGAGCTGGGGTGAGGACAATCAGGGTTCCAGTATTCTTGGCCCACCATAGGTGGGGTGAAGCCTCTGTCCACTGTATTCCCTGATTGGGAGTTGAGGGGAGAGGCAGCCCTATCTTTTTGCTCACACCTGGGCAGACTGGAACTTCCATCAGACAGAGCTTAGTGGGAGTGTGGGGTGTGGATAGAGAGTAACTTACGGAGCAAGTTCCAGCCTCTCACTGTTCTTAACAAGTTTTTTTTTTTTTTGGACATGGAATCTCACTCTGTCGCCCAGGCTGGAGTGCAGTGGCACCATCTCGGCTCACTGCAACCTCCGTCTCCCGGGTTCAAGCGATTCTCCTGCCTTAGACTCCCGAGTAGCTGGGACTACAGGCATGTGCCACCATGCCCAGCTAATTTTTTTGTATTTTTAGTAGAGACAGGGTTTCGCCGTGTTAGCCAGGATGGTCTCGAACTCCTGACCTCAGGTGATCTGCTCGCCTCGGCCTCCCAAAGTGCTGGGATTACGGGCGTGAGCCACCACGCCCGCCCTTTTTTTTTTTTTTTTTTTTTTTTTGATACAGAGTCTCACTCTGTCACCCAGGCTGGAGTGCAGTGGTGTGATCTCAGCTCACTGCAACCTCCCTGTCCCAGGTTCAAGCGATTCTCCTGCCTCAGCCTCCCGAGTAGCTGGGACTATAGGCACGTGCCACTACGCTTAGCTAATTTTTTGTATTTTTTTTTAGTAGAGACGGGGTTTCACCGTGTTAGCCAAGCTGATCTCGAACTCCTGACCTCGTGACTCACCCGCCTCAGCCTCCCAAAGTGCTGGGATTACAGGCGTGAGCCACCGCGCCGGGTCATAAACTGCTTTCTTTTTCCTTGGAACTTTATCTGTGGGAGAATTTTGAGTCTTTGATTGAAGTGACTTTCCTCTAGAGAGAATTTGTATTTGCTTCTGCTTGGCCCCTGGGTGTGCCACCAACCCAGAAACCCTTTCGATTCTGTCGTTGGCATTTTCTTGGGCTACTCACGCAGCATATGTTCATTTGAGCACAAACTATGGGAGGACTGATTTCAAATTCTCAGGGGAGATTTTTTTTTCTTCCATCCAAGGTTAATACAGGCAAGCTTTCTTGCTGCTTCCTTCTGTGAAATGTGTTTTGTTTTTGTTTTATCAGTGCCTTTATACTAAGGTAGTAGGAGCCTCCAACCATATGCAGAAATCTCTCATTCTCTCTTTTTTTTTTTTTTGGAGATGGAGTTTCATTCTTGTTGCCCAGGCTGGAATGCAGTGGCACAACCTCGGCTCACCGCAACCTCTGCCTCCCAGGTTCACGCCATTCTCCTGCCTCAGCCTCCTGAGTAGCTGGGATTACAGGCATGCGCCATCATGCCCGGTTAACTTTGTATTTTTAGTAGAGATGGGGTTTTACCGTGTTGGTCAGGCTGGTCTTGAACTCCTGACCTCAGGTGATCTGCCTGCCTCGGCCTCCCAAAGTGCTGGGATTACAGGCATGAGCCACCACACCCGGCCAAGATTTATTTTCAAACTATTGTAATTAAGATGGCCTAGGGCCGACTCTGTGGCTCACGCCTATAATCCCAGCAGTTTGGGAGGCTGAGGTAGGCAGATCAGTTGAGGTTAGGAGTTTGAGACCAGCCTGGCCAACATGGCAAAACCCTGTCTTTTTTTGTTTTTGAGACGGAGTCTCGCTCTGTCGCCCAGGCTGGTGTGCAGTGGTGCGATCTCAGCTCACTGCAAGCTCCGCCTCCTGGGTTCACGCCATTCTCCTGTCTCAGCCTCCAGAGTAGCTGGGACTACAGGCGCCCGCCACCACACCCGGCTAATTTTTTGCATTTTTAGTAGAGACGGGGTTTCACTGTGTTAGCCAGGATGGTCTCTTATCTCCTGACCTCGTGATCCGCCCACCCCAGCCTCCCAAAATGCTGGGATTACAGGCATGAGCCACCGCGCCTGGCCTATTTTTTATTTTTTAAGGCTGGTCAGTGAAGCAGTGGGAGTGGAGAAGGTACAAAGAAATCTGTAACCGGTTGTGATCAATTAGTTGTAAACACCAATGCACTCAGACCAGCATATGGTGCTTTGACACACAGAACTCAAGGAGCCGCAAGATCTCTCTGACCTTGCCTGCTCACCACCATCTTTCCCAAAGTGAAGTTCCTTTATCGGCCTAAAATCCAGACCCACCAGAAGTAACAATTGTTTTTTTCTTCTCTTCTCTGTAAACCAAGAATGTAACCTCACCTGAAAAAACTCTTTCACAAAATAATGTACAAGTTCATCTCCGTTCCCCGATCCATTCATTCTTCCTAGTAGTCCCCTCAACAGAACTCCTCTTCTCCCTCCTCCCATAACCTGTTTTGCCAGTAGGGTATGTAAGCTTCACAACCACACTGGGAGGTGGGCAATCATTCTGTGGTTCTCCCCCAAGTACACTTTAATAACATTTATACGCCTTTTCTCCAATTAATCTACCTTTTGTGAGTTGATTTTTCAGCAAACCTTCAGAGGGCGAAGGGGAAGTTTCCCTTGGTCCCTACAAGCCGTATGCATGTTTGCAGGCGGGTAGAGGCTTCCACCTTCTGCAGGGGCCCCAAAGCCGGAACTGTACATTCCCAGCATCCCTTGCAGCTGATCGGGAACCTGTGACCAAGGATAAGCTGGGGAACCAACTCCCCTCAGACTTTGGTTTGAAGGCAAGTGAGGCCAACAAGGAAATAACAAGATCCTCAATCCTGGGGTGGCAGCGGACTCCAGCATCCAGGGCCAGTGGTGCTGGCCGTGCTGGCATGAGTGTTTGTCCTGCAGGGCCTGAGGAGGCTATGTCCTCACCAGACCAGCTCTACAGTGAGCTTTGCCCCTGTTCATGCTGTAGTTGCCTTGACCCAGCTTGTTTCCTGAGCCTGGTTATCCTGCCTTCCTGATAGTTCTGGGAGGTACCTGTGACGTTCCAATAAACTCCTTTTCTGTTTAGGTCTAGGGATGCTTTTTGTTGATTTCAACTGAAAAGCCTAACAATTCAGCCACAGACAAGGGCAGAGGTGGAGGCCTCAGTCCTACTTGTCCCAGTGTTACAGCCTAACAGATTCTTCTTGTCTGCTGCACAGATAAAGTCAATTCACTGAGACAGTGGTGTTGCAGCAGAGAAAGAGTTTATCATGAGTCAGCCAAGTGGAAGGATAGGAGATTTTTCTCAAATCCACCTCCCCAAGAACTTGGAAGTTAGGGTTTTTAAGAATAATGTGGTGTTGGGGGCTAGGGAAGGGGCGCTGCTGGCTGGGTATGAAATAATAGAAGTGTCCAAACTGTCTTCTCCGCACTGAGTCAGTTTCTGGGTGGGGGGTCACAGTGATACAGAAGAGCTGGGCTCCCAGGTAAACCCCACCCTTGATCCTGGAACTCTAGCCCTAAATGAAAACAGCTGACCCCGTTTTCCCACCCAAATGTTGCCTTTTTGGCCTGCTCCGCCCCATCCTGTGCCCATAAAAGACTTCAGCTGGCAGAGCAACACAAGCAGCTAAGTATTGAGGATACAAGCAGCTGAGTGGCGAGCAGAGAAGCATCTGAGCGTCGGAGACTACAGATAGACGCGGCTAACTTCAGACATTCAAGTGGCCTGATTCTTCCTGGATGCTGGATGGACAGAACCTGGGTGCTGAGCGGGTAGGGGCTGCCACCTTGACCCTCCGCTGAGCTGGTTGGTACTTGGCTGTTCCTGGATGGCAGAGCTGAAAAAGCATCGGTCGTAACACTCTTGGACGCTGCTGCGGGGCTGCACACAGCCTGCTCCCACCAGAAAGGAGTGACTGGCTGGTTCCGGCATTTGTTCGCTCCTTACTGCACTCACTCGCTCACGTGCCCCCTCCCACGAGGAGTGGTCAGCGGTGGGCTGAGTTAAAAGAGCCATTCCAGTTCCTGCCCGTGAGGGGGGTCAAGGGAACTATCCCATCTCATCAGGATGGGGTGAGTCAGCTCCTTGGTATAAGTCACAATCCAGGCGGCTTCCTTTGGTCTGCCCACATGCAAATGTCTGAAAAATATCTGAAAAAGACCAATCTTAGGTTTTGAAAATAGTGATGTTGTCTACAGAAGCAACTGGGGAAGTTACAGATCTTGTGAACTCTGGCTACATGACTCCTGAGCATCAGGGAATTACAGAAGAACGGCTGGTTATCATTTAACTATGCCTGCATTTTAGTGGAATTCATGCCCCTCCCATAATCCTATCATTGTGGCCTTTTATTAGTCTTACAAAGGTGGTTTTAGTCCCCAGAGGGGTCACTTCTGAGAAGGGACTGCTGTCATCCTTTTTCAACGTTAAACTATAAACTAAATTCCTCCCATAGTTAGCTTGGCCTAGGCCCAGCCAGATTTCTTTTTTTTTTTTTTTTTGAGACAGTCTTGCTCTGTTGTCCAGGTTGAAGTGCTGTGGCGTGATCTCGGCTCATTGCAACCTCTGCCTCCCAGGTTCCAAAAATGATTTTTGTGGAGAATGAGGTCTCGCTGTGTTGTGCAGGCTGGTTTTGAACTCCTGGGCTCAAGTGATCCTCCCACCTCTGCCTCCTAAAGTGCTGGGACTATAGGCGTTAGCCACCATGCCCAGCCTAGGTTTCAATTAGATTTAGATTGAAGTTAGTTTTGAAAACACACATTTTGAAAATTGTTGATAATTCCCTTCTTCTTTGCAAAACATTTAATTATTTGTTTATTTACAATAGATGAGACATACATATGGGAATGAGTGTATGGTGAAAATTCTCTCACCAGACCCCACATACCCAATTTCCCTTCCACAGAGGAAGCCACTGGTACCAGTTTCTGTGTCTTCTTCCAGAAACATAGGCCGTGCAAATACAAGCTCTATGAGTGTGTGTTTACATGTATCTTTGTATTTTTGCTTTATTCGCTTAACAATATATCTCAGAGCTTATTTCTTTCATAGCTGCACGTATGCATTTGGTTTTGTCATATAAATAAATATATATATATATATATATATATATATATTTTTTTTTTTTTTTTTTTTTTTTTAAGAGTCTCACTCTGTTGCCTAGGCTGGAGTGCAGTGGCTCGATCTCAGCTCACTGCAACCTCTGCCTCCCAGGTTCCAGCGATGCTCCTACCTCAGCCGCCCGAATAGCTGGGATTACAGGCATGCGCAACCATGCCCGGCTAATTTTTGTATATTTAGTAGAGGCGGGTTTTCTCCATGTTGGTCAGGTTGGTCTCGAACTCCCAACCTCAGGTGATCCACCCACCTTGGCCTCCCAAAGTGCTGGGATTACAGGTGTGAGCCACCGCGCCTAGCCTCTCCCTTTCTTCCTTCCTTCCTTTCTCTCTCTCTTTCTTTCCTTCCTTCCTTCCTTTTTTTCTTTCTTTCTTTTTTTTTTTTTTTTGACAAAGTCTTGCTCTGTTGCCCAGACTAAAGTGCAGTCATGAGATCACAGGATCTTCCCACCTCAGCTTGCTAAGTAGCTGGGACTACAGGGACAGGCCACTGCATCTGGCTAATTTTTAAATTGTTTGTAGAGACACGATCTGGTTATGTTGCCTGGATAGCTGGTCTCGAACTCCTGGGCTTTAAGCAATCTTCCTGCCTCGGTCTCCCAAAGTGTTTTTGTTTGTTTGTTTGTTTGTTTGGGTTTTTTTTTTTGAGACGGAGCCTCACTCTGTCGCCCAGACTGGAGTGCAGTGGCGCAATCTCGGCTCACTGCAAGCTCCACCTCCCGGGTTCACGCCATTCTCCTGCCTCAGCCTCCCGAGTAGCTGGAACTACAGGCGCCCGCCACCACGCCCGGCTAATTTTTGTATTTTTAGTAGAGACGGGGTTTCACTGTGTTAGCCAGGATGGTCTTGGTCTCCTGACCTTGTGATCCACCCGCCTCGGCCTCCCAAGGTGCTGGGATTACAGGAGTGAGCCGCCACACCCACCCCCAACATGTTGTGATTATAGGCCTGAGTTACCGTGCTCGGCCTTGGATTTCTTTTTAGCCCATTTTTCCATGTGAGACCCAGAGAGCTGGGGGGCCCACTCAAGGCCTTGCCAAAAGCCAGAAGCCAGTGCAGACCAGAACCCAGATACCCCATTTCCCACCCATCACTGGCCAAAGGGTTAATGGCTGTTGGCAGACACAATGTTTTTGTTTTTTATTGATTTGTGTGTTTACATTTGACTTCCCAAAAGTGTCTGAGGCAACTGCCACTGAGGTATCAGGACTTGTGTTTGCTTTTACCGCACTCCCTCCTGCTGGTAGGGAACCCAGACAGTCCGAGCCATCACAGCCAAACTAGAACGGAGTCAAGCTGCAGCCCAGGGCCAAGGCCGAGGGAGGCACCAAGAGCCAGGGGCCAAACCAGATCGATCACATTTGCCATCAGGCCAAGCACCATGTCACCACCACAGCCAGGTGTGAGCTACAGGCCCAAGAGCCAGGCCAAGCAGAGAGTGTCCAGGGCACACGCCCCACCAATCCCCAGAATACAGCGCCTTCTGATACTCAGCCCCAGCTCTGGGCTGAATCTTACCTGGAGGCAGATATCTAATGGATGGAGAGGCAGGGCGCGGTGGCTCATGCCTGTAATCCCAGCACTTTGGGAGGCTGAGGCAGGTGGATCATCTGAAGTCAGGAGTTTGAGACCAACCTGGCCAACATGGCGAAACCCCGTCTCTACTAAAAATAGAAAAATTAGCTGGGCGTAGTGGCACATGCCTGTAATCCCAGCCACTTGGGAGGCTGAGGCACGAGAATCGCTTAAATGTGGGAGGTGGAAGTTGCAGTGAGCCGAGATCGCTCTGTCATCCAGCCTGGGTGACAGAGCAAGACTCCATCTCCAAAAAACAAACAAACAAACAAAAAGAAATGGAGAGCTGAGGATAAAGGTAGGAAACTTGTGACCCAGGAAACTGGAATAGCCAGAGAAGGTACAAAGGCGGAGGAGCTGATGAAAGTCAGGCTCAGGCCGCTTGCGGTGGCTCATGCTTATAATCCCAGCACTTTGGGAGGCCGAGGCGGGGGGATCACTTGAGATCAGGAGTTCGAGACCAGCCTGACCAACATGGTGAAACCCCGTCTCTATTAAAAATACAAAATACAAAATTAGCCAGGCATGGTGGTGCATGCCTGTAATCCCAGCTACATGGGAGGCTGAGGCAGGAGAATCACTTGAACCCGGGAGGTGGAGTTTGCAGTGAATGGCGATCACAACACTGCACTCCAGCCTGAGCAACAAGAGTGAAACTCTGTCTCAAAAAAAAAAAAAAAAAAAAAACCAAAACCAAGAGCAAAACTTCGTCTCAAAAAAAAAAAAAAAAAAAAACAGGTCAGGCTCAGGATTGCCCACCCAGCCTTGCAACCCCACCAAGCCCTGCACTGTTATCAGGCTGGGTCCTCTCTTCCTTCGTCCAGAGGGGAATGGAACAGGTATGGAGACAGGATGTCATTTTGGAGACCCAGGTTTGAATTCTGGTGCTTCCATATCTTGGCTTTGGCATTTGAGCAAAATCATTCACTCTTCTATGCAACAAATATTTATTGAGCAACTACTATGGTAAGGCATTAGCCAGGTTCTAGGGAACAAAGATGAGTAAACCACGGTCCCCCCCTCATGACATGAGAGTAGGAGAGTCAGATGAGCCCAGATGGTAACATGATGAGATAGTGGTGTGGCTGGGGCAAAAACAGGCATCTGTGGAGCTCAGAGGGAGCCCCTATCCAGGGAGAGAAGGCCCAGGTAGAGTCTCCTGGGGAATTCCCTTGGACCACCCATTCATTCAACAAATACATAAAGTGCCTACTGTGTGTCAGGCACTAAGCAAGACACCAGAGAAACAATGGTCTACAAGACAGACTTGGCCCCTGAACCAGTAGAACTTCACGGTTGAGTGAGGGAGGAAGACCAGAAGTGCGAGTTGTGAGAAATGCAATGATGGAAACACAGCATTGTCATCGAGACTAACACAGGGGATACATATATGGGACAGGGGACGTGAGGCAGAATGTTGTGATGTTGGACCAAAATTAGAGTGTCCTTGTGAACTTATGCAATATGTATCTATCCTATCTTTGTCTGCTAAAAGTCCTCACTTCCAGGAATGCTGAGTTTACCCGGTGCCCAGATCTTAGTTGCTAAATATCCTTCTCCGTGAAAGGGCACCGTTCCCTGAAGAAATGGCTTCTGATCTCAGGGCTGGTGCTGAGGAAGTACAAGGTGCAGCTGGAACATCTTATTATGAAAGAAAGGAATGGAAGGATGGAAGGAACAGAGGGAGGCAGGGAAGGAGGGGAAGGAAGGATTATAGCATTTCTATATGAAGTCTATTTGTGATACCAAGCTTGGTAATATAATGAATGAACCAGCTTAAATATAGCACATTTATGTTCTTAAAATAACCAGTGAAGGAAACTAGAAGGCAGAATGGTAAGAGGCCAAGGAAGGAGGACTTCAGAATGAGAGTGGGAAACAATCGTAGAGGCTGCAAATAAGTAAGATGAGGGCCAAGGTGTATCTGCTGGATTTAGTACGAGAGAGACCTGTGGTGATGACCAACCACGTGGAGCCCATGTTCACTGGGGAAGTGGGGAGAAGAGGACAGGAGGGTCATCAGTGAAGAGAAGGTAGGTAAAGTCTGGGGAAGAGCCCAGGATGATGGCACACGCCTGTAAACCCAGCTACTTGGGAGGCTGAGACAGGAGGATCCCTTGATCCCAGGAATTTGAGACCAGCCTAGGCAACATAACAGGACCCTGTCTCACATAAATAAATAACTAAACAAACAAACAAACAGATAAATACAGACAGACATACATCTAGGGAAGACGGAGGTGGCAGGTAGAAGTGGAAAGAGAAAGAAGCCCAGGACAGGGATTTGAGTTGTTTGATTGACTGATTAAAGCTTAAATAAAGCTTAAGAATTTTGACCAAAAGTGAGTGTGGTGGTGGCTTGGGGGTGGCATTTAGTCCTCTCTTGGGTCTGTTAGCAACTCATCCTGGTTTTTCCAGAACTGTCCTGGTTTTAGCATTGAAAGTACCTCATCCTGGGAACCTCCTTAGTCCCGGCAAACTGGGATGGTCACTGTCCACTCTCAGGCTGCTACTATCACCATATTCAGTAGTCACTGCCAGACTGGGAAGGCTAGGCCATATTTATTCATTCAACAAACTTTTGCTGACCCTGGAAATACAATGCCTGCAAAGCATACACAGTCCCTACCCTTACAGACTACGTGAAATTCTTTATTTGCATTTAAGTGATTTTTTTTTGAGACGGAGTTTCACTCTTGTCACCCAGGCTAAAGTGCAATTGCACGATCTCAGATCACTGCGACCTCTGCCTCCTGGGATCAGGCGATTCTCCTGCCTCAGCCTCCCAAGTAGCTGGGATCTCGGCTCACTGCAACCTCCGCCTCTTGGGTTCAAGCTATTCTCCTGCCTCAGTCTCCTGAGTAAGGGGGATTACAGACATGCGTCACCACACCCGGATAATTTTTGTATTTTTAGTAGAGACGGGGTTTCACCATGTTGGCCAGGCTGGTCTCAAACTCCTGACCTCAAGTGATCTGCACGCTTCAGCCTCCCAAAATGCTGGGATTACAGGCGTGACCACCAGGCATGGCCTTGCATTTAAGTGATACTAATCAAGCTGGATATCCAAAAAGAAAAACAAAAAAGAAAATGACAAAGCCTTTTTTTCCTTTAGTATCTTGGTTGAAAATGTGAAAAGTAAGAAAAGTGTAAAAAGGCAGGAATAAAAAATATTAGCAGATTTCCTTTCAGTATTTTTCCTGCATGTTTCCCAAGTTACTTCCTATCAGTGTCCTAAAAAATGCAAGTTAATTTTAACTTTGGCCGCAAACCAAGAACAAAAAGGTTAAGTGTATTGAATTAATTTTTCAAGCCAAAGTTAAAGGATCTGAGGATGATCTGCTGTCTCCAAGGCTCCAGTCCCTGTTTTTTTCCTTTAGCAGGTGTGATCACACGCTGGCTGAGATGAGTAATGACTTTCCCTCTCCTCAGCACGCTTGCTGCTGTACAATTTTTTTCTTTTTACAAATTAAAATGCTGCATTCACCTGATAATAAAAATCAAGTAGAGGCTGGGTGCAGTGGCTCACGCCTGTAATCCCAGCACTTTGGGAAGCTGAGGCGGGTGAATCACCTGAGGTTGGGAGTTCGACACCAGCCTGACCAACATGGTGAAACCCCGTCTCTTCCAAAAATACAAAAATTAGCCTGGCATGGTGGTGGGTGCCTGTAATCCCAGCTACTCAGGAGGCTGAGACAGGAGAATCGCTTGAACCCGGGAGGCAGAGGTTGCAGTGGGCTGAGATCACACCATTGCGCTCCAGCCTGAGTGATGAGAGTGAAACTCCATCTTAAAAAAAAATAGGCCGGGCGCGGTGGCTTATGCCTGTAATCCCAGCACTTTGGGAGGCCAGGGCGGGTGGATCACGAGATCAAGAGTTTGAGACCAGCCTGGCCAACATGGTGAAACCCTGTCTCTACTAAAAATGCAAAAATTAGCCAGGCATGGTGGTGCACGCCTGTAATCCCAGCTACTTAGGAGGCTGAGGCAGGAGAATCACTTGAACCTGGGAGGGAGAGGTTGCAGTGAGCCAAGATTGTGCCACTGTACTCCAGCCTGGGTGACAGAGCGAGACTCCGTCTCAAAAAAAAAAAAAAAAAAAAAAAAAAAAGTGAAAATTGTGGGCATTTGCAGTCTTTGCTGCCATTAAGTCTTCTGGATTTTTCTACAGGTTGACTCTAAAAGTTGAAATCCAGTCAAAGATATTTACATTATTATGGCCACATGAACGTTGTTTACCCTCAGGCCAAACAATGGGCTGGAATTACACTTGCTTCTCCACACACTCCATCCCATAATCCATGTGTCACTCAAAGGACAATGTGGCAAGCAAGCACTAAGGCCCTAAATTGATACTGTATCAATTAAATACAATTATGTTGTGTTATAGCTTGTGTTTCATTTATTTTATTTTATTTTTTATTTTTATTTTTCTGAGAGATGAACTCTCACTCTGTCGCCCAGGCTGGAGTGCAGTGGCACAATCTCGCCTCACTGCGACCTCTGCCTCCCAGGTTCAAGTGATTCTCCTGCCTCAGCCTCTCGAGTAGCTGGGATTACAGGCGTGCGCCACCATGCCCGGCTAATTTTTGTATTTTTAGTAGAGACAGGGTTTCACCATGTTGGCCAGGCTGGTCTCAAACTCTTGATCTCGTGATCCACCTGCCTTGGCCTCCCAAAGTGCTGGGATTACAGGCATGAGCCACTGCGCCCGGCCTATTTATTTTATTTCAAGCAGTTCTCCTGCCTCAGCTTCCCAAGTAGCTGGAACTTCAGGCGTGCACCACCATGCCCAGCTAATTTTTGTATTTTTTAGTAGAGATGGTGTTTCACTACATGTTGGCCAGGCTGGTCTCGAACTCCTGACCTCAGGTGATCCACCCACCTTGGCCTCCCAAAGTGCTGGGATTACAGGCATGAGCCACTGTGCCCGGCCTATTTATTTTATTTTTTATAGAGACAGGGTCTCACTCTGCTGCCGAGGCTTCGGTTCAATGGGGTGATCATAGCTCACTGCAACCTCAAACTCCTGGGATCAAGTGATCCTCCTGACTTAGCCTCCACAGTAGCTGGGACTACAGGAGCATGCCATCGCACCTGGATAATTTTTCTTGTATTTTTTGTAGAGATGGAAAGGGGTTCTCACTATTTTGCCCAGGCTGGTCTTGAACTCCTGGCCTCAAGAGATCCTCTCGTCTCAACCTCTCAAAGCTCTAGGGTTACAGGCGTGAGCCATGATGCCCTGCCCGTATTTATTTATTTTTATTTTATTATTTATTTATTATCTTTTTTTTTTTTTGAGACAGGGTCTTCCTCTGCAGCCCAAGCTGGAGTTCAGTGCCCAGATCATAGCTCATGGCAACCTGGAATTCCTGGGCTCAAGCGATCCTCCTGCCTCAGTTTCCCCAGTAGCTGGGACTACAGGTGCACACCATGATGCCCAGCCTGTTTTGTTGCTTTTTTTTTTTTTTTTTTTTTTTTTTTTGAGATGGAGTCTTGCTCTGTCGCCCAGGCTGGAGTGCAGTCATGCGATCTCGGCTCATTGCAACCTCCACCTCCCGGGTTCAAGCAATTCTCTGCCTCAGCCTCCCGAGTAGCTGAGATTACAGGTGCCCGCCACCGTGCCCAGCTAATTTTTGTTTTTTTAGTAGAGACAGGGTTTCACCATCTTGGCCAGGCTAGTCTTGAACTCCTGACCTTGTGATCCACCGACCTTGGCCTCCCAAAGTGCTGGGATTACAGGCGTGAGCCACCACAACTGGCCCCAGCTGTTTCTTATTTACATTGTGATTTCAGTTTTGAAAATTTTCTGGAGATTCTAACTGCTTTTCTTTCTTTGCATACTCTTTTTTTTTTTTTTTTTTTTGACAGGGTCTTACTCTGTTGCTCGTGTTGGAATGCAGTGGTGTGATCACAGCTCACTGCAGCCTCAACCTCCCAGGCTCAGGTGATCCTCCCATCTCAACCTCCTGAGTAGCTGGGACTACAGGCATGCACCACCATGCCCAGCTCTATGGATGCTTTTTCTTGACTCTCTTTAAGTATATTAGGTAGTACTCTTTGTATCCTGAATTATCTCTGTTTCCTCCAATGTCAAATTTTGTTTGTTAATTTTGGTCTTTCTTTCTTTTTTTTTTTTTTTGAGATAGGGTCTTGCTGTGTTGCCCAGGCTGGAGTGTGGTGGCGTGATCTCAGCTCTCTGCAACCTCTGTCTCCTGGGTTCAAGCAATTCTCTGCCTCAGCTTCCCGAGTAGCTGGGAACTACAGGCGCCTGCCACCACGTCCGGCTAATTTTTTTGTATTTTTATTAGAGACAGGGTTTCACCATCTTGGCCAGGCAGGTCTCGATCTCCTGACCTCGTGATCCACCCGCCTCAGCCTCCCAAAGTGCTGCGATTACAGGCGTGAACCATCGCGCCCAGCCAATTTTGGTCCTTCCTTCCTTCCTTCCTTCCTTCCTTCCTTCCTTCCTTCCTTCCCTCCTTCCCTCCCTCCCTCCCTCCCTCCTTTCTTTCTTTCTTCCTTTCTTTCTTTCTTTTTGAGACAAGGTCTGTTGCCCAGGCTGGAGTGTAGTGGTGCAATCACAGCTCACTGCAGCCTCAAACTCCTGGGCTCAAACAATCCTCCTACCTCGGCCTCCTGAGTAGCTGGGACTACAGGCGTGGGCTAATTTTTTAAAACTTTTCTGTAGAGATGGGGTCTTGCTCTTGCCCAGGCTGATCTTGAACTCCTGGCCCCCAGCCTTGGCCTTCTGGGATTACAGGCGTAAGCCACCTGCCGGACCAATTTTGGTGTTTCTTTTGCATGCTGCTGGTCCTCCTCAGATGCTTGGCAATCATTGGTAATGATGGGCTTCAGAACGTGCTACCGGCACAGTGAGTGTTTTAAGCTGAAGGAATTTGAGAAAACCGCAGAAGCCGAAGGATCTTTCTTACCTTCTCCTGCCCTTCTTCCCTGAACCAGGTCATACAACCTGGAACTCCCTGCCCTTTTCCTGAAGAAGCAAATAACAGCCTCCTGCGAGAGGCGCCCTCCCTGCACCTGGGGGAAAGGAGGGTCCTTATCTCTGAAGACACAGGGACACAGAAGAATCTGAACCAACAGGCCTTCCTGAGTTCCCCACCTCCCCGCAGGAGGTGCCCGCACACGCATAGCCCCGTCGCTCCCGCGGCCGCACGCAACGGACCTCGCCCTGGTGGTGCACGCCCGGGCTGGGCGCTCAGAGGTCGGGTGGGCGCCCACTCCGTTCGCTGCGCGCACAGCGCCCGGCGAGAGGCTCGGAGTTTGATCACACACAGCGTCCGGCTTCCTGTCCCCAGCGCCCCCTCCCGCCCCGTTTCCCTTGCCCCTCCCTCTCCCCGGCCCGATCCGCCCGCCGGCTCCCCCTCCCCCGATCCCTCGGGTCCCGGGATGGGGGGGCGGTGAGGCAGGCACAGCCCCCCGCCCCCATGGCCGCCCGTCGGAGCCAGAGGCGGAGGGGGCGCCGGGGGGAGCCGGGCACCGCCCTGCTGGTCCCGCTCGCGCTGGGCCTGGGCCTGGCGCTGGCCTGCCTCGGCCTCCTGCTGGCCGTGGTCAGTTTGGGGAGCCGGGCATCGCTGTCCGCCCAGGTGAGGCCCCGCTGCGCACCCCTTCTTGGGCACATCAGGAGCTGAGACTGCAGAGGGGCCGCTGGGGGCCGCGTGGGCTGAAGGCAAGGGGAAGGGAGGATGGGTGGAGGGTGAGATGTCAGGTGGAGCGGCACAGGGTGACGCTCCCTCCTTCCCAGCAGGAGCCTGCCCAGGAGGAGCTGGTGGCAGAGGAGGACCAGGACCCGTCGGTGAGTGGGCGTGGGCGCGGTCTGCAGGCTGCTGGGGCATGGGAAGTGTGCACAGCCGAGGCTGCAGGTGTGTGCAGCTGTGCCAGCCGTACTCGAGGTGTGTGCAGGGTGTGTGTGAACACAGTGCGTGCATGGGTGCGTGTCTGCAGGGGTGTGTGTGCGTGGTGACAACTCTGTGTGAGGGGTTTGTGCTGGGGTTGTGCCACCTGAGTCTGAGGTGTTTATTGGCTGGGGGTGACGTGGTTGTATAAGATATGTGAGTCTGCGTGGAAGAGGGGTGCGGTTGTGTACAGGGTGTGTATCCTCTGTGCGTGGTGACTGGGTGCGGGCATGTGTGCAATGTGCCAATTGAATGCAGGGTCTGCGTTGGTTGTGTGTGTGGGTGGGAAAGTGTAGCTGGTCTAGAGGAAAGGGTGAGGACTGGGGCCTGACTCCCAGCTTCACCTTTGCCCGGGGCCCCAGCTGTAGTTGGCTGAGGGGCTTAATCTGTCCCTGACTTCTGTGTCTATTGCTGGCTGGTGGCTCTCCTGACAGGCCCCGTATGTCTCACTTTATATCTCTGGGAGTCTGTGGTTGAACCCTGCCCTAATTCCCCTAGGAACTGAATCCCCAGACAGAAGAAAGCCAGGATCCTGCGCCTTTCCTGAACCGACTAGTTCGGCCTCGCAGAAGTGGTGAGCATCCCTCTATCCCAACCTCAGGAAGCGGGCAGAGCAAAAACCATTATCCACAGGGAGAAACTGAGGCACGGAGGGTGAAAGGAGTTCAGAGTCATGCAGCTAACCAGCCAAGACTCAAACCTAGGGATTCTCGCCCTCCTCTGAAGCTCCTTCTGTCATATGGATGTGCTCCTTCAGACCCTACCCCAAACAGGAAGGCAGGGTGGCCATGAGTTAGAAGAACTACTGGGATCCTGATGGAGACTAGGCCTGGCAGTCAGAGGCCTGGGCCCCGGTAGGCAAAGAGACTTAGGAATGGGATGATGGGGTGGCCGGATGACCACGTGTCCAAGTCGGCATGCAGTTGTCCTGGCCCCCACCTGTTATCTCGGTGTGATTAATAGCAGCTTCCCGTTTTGCTCTCAGCAGTATCCCAGTGTGGATGACAAATTATAGTCACTCTACTTACTGAGGAAGATGAGGCCTGAGATTCTAAGGCCAGGAGTCTGGACAAGAATAAGGATGCCAGGGTTCCTGAGAGGGGAATGGGGCTGGGAGAGTTGCTCTGGGACCCCCACTAGGGCCCGCTTTGCTCATCTGTCTTTCCTTGATCCTCAGCACCTAAAGGCCGGAAAACACGGGCTCGAAGAGCGATCGCAGCCCATTATGAAGGTGGGTGATGGGTGAGCCATACCCAGGAGGAGAGGGGCAGGTGGCAGAGGGTCAGGGCAGGTCTCACCAGCCTTTTCCTGTACTTTACAGTTCATCCACGACCTGGACAGGACGGAGCGCAGGCAGGTGAGACCCCATCCCCCGACACAGCACTGGCCTCCTGGGAAAAGGGCCCTTGAAAACCTTTGACCTCCCACTCCCTTCCCGGCCATCAGTCTCAGAACCACAGAAGCCAGTTCATGAAGGTCTTGGTTCTCTCTGTGACCCAGGCGTGGGACCCCATGAAAGACCCCTACTCTTCCCCAGAACTCTGCCCAGTTCCCCCAGCAAATCACTGTCCCAGCTCTCTCCTTCAGCCCTCATTCTTCTCCAAGAAGCACTTTTCATTCTTTTTTCTTCTGTCTCCTCCATATTCCACGTTCTGATGATCTTTTTCTCTAAATGCTGCTAGTGTCTGCTCATCTTTTCCATTTCTACCCCACCCTCTACCTCAGCACCGTGACCTCAGAACCTCAAATCCAGCCTCTTGCTGCTTCCCCACTCCACACCCTCCCTACCCCTCCACTCCATCTGACCTGTGCTGCCATGCTGAGCCCCTAAACTTCACTTTTCTTGTGGTATTGGCTCTCTACATGGCTTCCAGTCTCTTCGTGGTCTGGTCTCAACCTAATTTCCCTGCACTCTTATGCTGTCTTCATGTTTGCTGCGCTGACACCCCTGCTCCCGGTGTGCCTCTTCTGGACTTTGCACATACCATCCCCCTCACCAGAATGTCTTTCCACTGTGAGAGGCAGGGAGGCATGAGGAGTGCTCAGCCGAGGGGTTCACAGCAGAGATGGTGAGAAGTGGATGGGTTCAGCCTGTGTCCTGAAGATATTACTGACTTATGGGTTGGAGGTGAAGAATAAAAGAAAGGGAGGAATCACAGATGACTTCTAGATTTTTTATTTTTTTTAAGACAGTCTCGCTCTGTCACCCAGGCTGGAGTGCAGTGGTGCAATCTCGGCTTACTGCAACCTCTGCCTCCCAGGTTCAAGAGATTCCCGTCTCAGCCTTCCAAGTAGCTGGGATTACAGGCGTGTGCCACCACGCCTGGCTAATTTTTGTATTTTTAGTAGAGATGGGGTTTTGCCATGTTTTCCAGGCTGGTCTCAAACTCTTGACCTCCAGTGATCTGCCCGCCTCGGCCTACCAAAGTGCTGGGATTACAGGCATGAGCCACTGCACCCAGCCAGCTTCTAGATTTTTAACTTGGGTATCTCTGGGAAGAATGATGCCATTTCCTAAGAAGGGATTGACCAAGGAATAAATAGGTTGGGAAGTATGTAAGATAATTATTAACGTTGAGAAGTCTAAAATAAACAAGCGGATAAATGACAATAAAGTAAATTCCAGAAATGGATGGCTGGACATTGTCGACTAGCTTAGGCTAGGTCAGGACGGATAAAGCCAGGAGTCATGGCCATATGGATGGCTTTTTTTTTTTTTTTTTTGAGACAGAGTCTCGCTCTGTCACCCAGGCTGGAGTGCAGTGGTTCGATCTTGGCTCACTGCAACATCTGCCTCCTGGGTCCAAGCGATTCTCCTGTCTCAGCCTCCCAAGTAGCTGAGATTATAGGCGGGTGCCACCACACCCAGCTCATTTTTGTATTTTTTAGTAGAGACAGGGTTTCACCGTGTTGGCCAGGCTGGTCTTGAACTCCTGATCTCAGGTGATCCGCCAGCCTCAGCCTCCCAAAGTGCTGGGATTACAGGTGTGAGCCCTTGTGCCCGGCCTATCGATGGCATTTAAAGCCACAGGATTGGGTGAGACGCCAGGAGAAAGAAGGGCCCCACGAATGAAGCCCTGAGACTCTTGGGCATCTTGAAGTGGAGCTGAGGGGAAAACCAGCAGAGACTGAAAAGAAGCTGGAGAGAGAGGAAGAAACCCAGGGAGGGTGGCATCCTGGATTCGGAGAAACCACTGTTTCAAGGAGGATGTGGCTGTCTGTGTTGAATGCAGCTGAGAGATCACATGAAATGAGAACAGAGAAATGATGGCTGGGTTTGGTAACGTGAAAGTCCTGCTGACCTTAAAGAGGGTGGTTTCAGTGGCATAGTTAGAACAGGAAGGCAGTGTGCATTGGGTTGAGAAGAAAATGAGAAATAAGGAACTGGAGGCAGGGACAACCTTTTTTTTTTTTTTTTTTTTTTTTTTTTTTTTTTTTTTTGTGACAGAGTTTCACTCTTGTCACCCAGGCTGGATCCAGTGCAATGGCACGATCTCGGCTGACCGTAACCTCCACCTCCCGGGTTCAAGCAATTCTCCTGCCTCAGCCTCCCCAGTAGCTGAGATTACAGGCATGCGCCACCACGCCTGGCTAATTTTGTATTTTTAGTAGAGACAGGGTTTCTCCATGTTGGTCAGGCTGGTCTCAAACTCCCGACCTCAGGTGTTCCACCCGCTTCGGCCTCCCAAAGTGCTGGGATTACAAGCATGAGCCACTGCACCCGGCCTAGGACAACCCTTTTTAGAAGTTTCTCTGTAACAAGGAGCAGAGAAATAGGCCAGTAGGTGGAGGGGTGTGTGGACCAAGGAAAAGTTTAGTTCTGTGAACAATACTATTTTCATCTGATCTAACATGTACTGAGGGCTTTCTTGAGATAGGCACTGTGTCTGGCACTTGTGTTTGGTCTTATCTAATCCTCACAACAGCCCTAAAAGGAAGATACTCTAATTACCTCCATTTTACAGATGGAGGTTACACAACTTGTCTGAGGCCATGAGATACTAAGTGGTGGAGCCAAGATTTGAACCCAGCTAGAATGTGCCTGTGTACTGGACATGGTCTGCATGAAAGGCGAGGTGGCTGGTGCAGGGGTGAGGGGTCCATGCAGGGGCCACATCCAAAAAGGGGAGAGGGAAGTTTCCAGAAAGAAGAGAGGACACATCTCCCACCATTACCAGAGGGTCAAAGGAGAACAAGAGACCAGGTGGGTTTGTAGATTTGCTGGGGGGAGATGAGGGAACCTTTGCTCGATGACTTCTAGGTCCTCTGGACAACTAGGGAGATGGAGACAGGAGATTTGAGGAGAAATGGTACAAAATCTCAACTTGCTGATTATGAAAGCAAGCTTCGTGGGGGAATGTAAGATTGCCAGGCAGGACGGAATGTCCAGGTGAGGTTTGTGGCTGGAGACAAGTGATATACCAGGCAAGCCCTCCGTGCTCCTGGGCACACCATGCCCTTAGGCTACAAGCAGCCTTTGCTTAGGCTGGCTTCGTAGCTAGGAATGCCCTCTCTTCTCTGCCCTCCCTACTCTTCATGCCCAGATCAGCCTTCCTCCCCTCTGTATAGACCACTTATTTTGGCAATTATCCAGACATTCATTCATTCATTGACTCAACAGGCATTGAAGACCTACTGTTTGCTAGGGGCCAGGCTAGGTGCCCACAGCAACTAATATCCAGACTCTTTTTTTTTTTTTTTTTTTTTTTTGAGATGGAGTCTCACTCTGTCGCCCAGGCTGGAGTGTAGTGGCGCGATCTCGGCTTACTGCAAGCTCCGCCTCCTGGGTTCATGCCATTCTCCTGCCTCAGCCTCCCAAGTAGCTGGGACTACAGGCGCCCGCCACCACGCCTGGCTAATTTTTTTTTATTTTTTAGTAGAGACGGGGTTTCACCGTGTTAGCCAGGATGGTCTCGATCTCCTGACCTCGTGATCCACCCAACTCGGCCTCCCAAAGTGCTGGGATTACAGGCGTGAGCCACCGCGCCCAGCCGGTCAGACCCATTTTTTTTTTTGAGATGGAGTTTTGCTCTTGTTGCCCCAGCTGGAGTGCAGTGGCGCCATCTCGGCTCACTGCAGCCTTCTCGGGTTCAAGTGATTCTCCTGCCTCAGTCTCCCGAGTAGCTGGGACTACAGGCGCCTGCCACCACGCCTGGCTAATTTTTTTTTTATGTTTTAGTAGAGACGGGGTTTCACCGTGTTAGCCAGGAGCGTCTCGATCTCCTGACCTCGTGATCCACCCACCTTGGCCTCCCAAGGTGCTGGGATTACAGGCGTGAGCCACTGTGCCCAGCCTCAGACCAACTCTTAAGGAGTCACTGTCTAGGAGAGGAAACAAGCATATAAATTTGTAATTACAGGAACATACAAAAAAAATTAGCCAGGTTTGGTGGCACATGCCTGTAATCCCAGCTACTCAGGAGGCTGAAGCATGAGAATCACTTGAACCCGGGAGGCGGAGGCTGCAGTGAGCCGAGATTGTGCCACTGCACTCCAGCCTGGGTGACAAGAGTGAGACTCCATCTCAAAAAAAAATTTGTAATTACAGTGGAATATGACAAGAACAATAATAAAAGTGGCCAAGATACCTGGCAACACAGGGGAAGACAGACATGGCTGTGGAGTCAGGGATTCTCTCCCTGCATCGCAAGGTGCCGCTGGGCCTTGAAGCAGGAGCGTAAGACAAGACAGGCAAGGGGTCAAGAATGGTGGGTGCAAGCAGAAGCAGCCCCTGGGGCAAAAGCCCCGGGTTTGCCCAGAGCATGATGAGGCTGGGGGACTCTAAGTTCAGCGTGGCAGAAGCAGAAAGTGCTAGAGGAGCGAGATGGGGATGAGGCTGGAGACAGAAGCCAGGCCACACGGTGGCATGTGGGAACTATTCTGAGGTGAGCCATCGGAAGGAGGAAGGCGAGGCGAGGCGGGCTTACGTCTGCATCTTAGAGACTCATTCTGTGGCTTTGTGTAGGGAATAAACTGGAGGAAGCCAGAATGGAAACAGGGAATGCTGTGAAAACCAGACAGAGGCACCAGATGGGGGAGAGAGGGGAGAGAGCTATTTAGGAGGCAGGATAGATAGGAACTGGTGATCGATTAATGATGTAGGTAAAGGAGAGGGAGGCTTGAATATCCCCCTGGTGGCAAAACCAGAAGCCAAATGTGGAAAACAGACAGTAAAGCAAGAGTGGGATGAGGGGGGTCAGCTCAGTGTTGGTTGAGATGAGTTTGAGGGGCTATTGCTGTTCAGATGGTGCAGTTGGCAGGGTAAGGAAGGGAAGGAAACTTCAGGGCTGGAGACTCTGCAGAGCACAGGTTGTGGGAACCCATTGGTGGAAATAAAAATGCCCAGTGAGCGTTTTTTTTGTTTTTTTTTTTTTTTGGAGACAGAGTCTAGCTCTGTTGCCCAGGCTGGAGTGCAGTGGCATGATCTTGGTTCACTGCAACCTCCCCATCCCAGGTTCAAGTAATTCTCCTGCCTCAGCCTCCCATGTAGCTAGGATTACAGGTGCCTGCCACCATGCCCTGCTAGTTTTTGTATTTTTAGTAGAGACGGGGTTTCACCTTGTTGGCCAGGCTGGTCTCGAACTCCCGACCTCAGGTGATCCGCCCACCTTGGCCTCTCAAAATGCCGGGATGACAGGCGTGAGCCACTGCACCTGGCTGAGCATGATGTTTTCAAGGCACATCTGTGCCATAGTGTGTATCAGTACTTCACTCTTTTTATGGCCAAATAATATTCCATTATATGGATAGACATTTTGTTGATGGACAATTGGGTTTCATTTTATTATTTTTAGTTGTACTAATTCAGATAATGTATGTTTACATCCTCCATATAAAAGAAGCAAATAATATAGATATCCATGAAGTAAAACATTAAATCCCCTCACGCTTCTCCTTCAGTTCTACTCTTCTCCCCAGAAGTGACTGCAGGTGACAATCTGCCCTGAATGTCTCTGGCCATATACATTAGATTTTTTCACATAACTTCCTAGTCAACTATGGGCATCATAGGGGATGGGTCCTCCCTTGCCCGGGGTGATCTATGTGTCTTCTGGGTAAAGTGGGCGCCGAATGTTCATATGCTCAATGGATCCCTGGGGAGTGTGGGGGAGTCCTGTAGAGAGACGTTTCCTTATCTCTGAGCATCCGTGTTCAGGTGTGGACGGGACAGTGAGTGGCTGGGAGGAAGCCAGAATCAACAGCTCCAGCCCTCTGCGCTACAACCGCCAGATCGGGGAGTTTATAGTCACCCGGGCTGGGCTCTACTACCTGTACTGTCAGGTAAGCCCCATCTGGCTGCATGGGTAACGCAGTAAGAGAGTGGCGAAGGGTTTGCCAGGAGAGTGGGGGACAAGCTACAGGGCTGGGAGGGTGAGTTGGGGTTTGGGTGGGATGGGATGCCTGCGTCGCTGAGGAAATTGGAAATTGAGGCGAGGGCAGGCAGAGGCCTGGACTCGGCCTGTTGTCCCCACCCCAGGTGCACTTTGATGAGGGGAAGGCTGTCTACCTGAAGCTGGACTTGCTGGTGGATGGTGTGCTGGCCCTGCGCTGCCTGGAGGAATTCTCAGCCACTGCGGCGAGTTCCCTCGGGCCCCAGCTCCGCCTCTGCCAGGTGTCTGGGCTGTTGGCCCTGCGGCCAGGGTCCTCCCTGCGGATCCGCACCCTCCCCTGGGCCCATCTCAAGGCTGCCCCCTTCCTCACCTACTTCGGACTCTTCCAGGTTCACTGAGGGGCCCTGGTCTCCCCGCAGTCGTCCCAGGCTGCCGGCTCCCCTCGACAGCTCTCTGGGCACCCGGTCCCCTCTGCCCCACCCTCAGCCGCTCTTTGCTCCAGACCTGCCCCTCCCTCTAGAGGCTGCCTGGGCCTGTTCACGTGTTTTCCATCCCACATAAATACAGTATTCCCACTCTTATCTTACAACTCCCCCACCGCCCACTCTCCACCTCACTAGCTCCCCAATCCCTGACCCTTTGAGGCCCCCAGTGATCTCGACTCCCCCCTGGCCACAGACCCCCAGGGCATTGTGTTCACTGTACTCTGTGGGCAAGGATGGGTCCAGAAGACCCCACTTCAGGCACTAAGAGGGGCTGGACCTGGCGGCAGGAAGCCAAAGAGACTGGGCCTAGGCCAGGAGTTCCCAAATGTGAGGGGCGAGAAACAAGACAAGCTCCTCCCTTGAGAATTCCCTGTGGATTTTTAAAACAGATATTATTTTTATTATTATTGTGACAAAATGTTGATAAATGGATATTAAATAGAATAAGTCATAGTCTCTCTCTTTATTGGGGCTCAGGGGACACTCTCAGGGTAGCTGGGGGCCACGTGAAGGGGGGCGTTGCGGAGCGGCACAGCTGGAACTCCGGGATGATGTTCAGGCTTGGGGGCGGGGACCTCCATGCCTCCAGCCCCCAGGTGGGAGCAGAGGTAGGAAGGCACACTGCCCAGGAAAAAAATCAATCCTCCGCCCAAGGTACAGCAGAAGCGGCCTCCTTGGCCTAGGAGGCAGACTTCCTCCTGCGGGGAAATCCCTTCCTGGCTGGGAGGAGCAGGGGCCCTTCCTCTTGGTGGCCTCGGACATTCAGCAGGTGCTGGCACAGGCCCTGGCTGGGAGGTGGGGCGGGCAGGAGCCAGCCTGGAGGAGGGGCTGAGAGTCAGCAGGCACACGGGAACCCGGAACCCTGTGTGCTGGGGAGGAATCCCGCAGTGGCCGGGGGGCTTGAGGCCGCTGCTTTGTCTCTTCGTCCAGAGCCTTATGTAAGAGCTTTTCTCGGGAAACAGGAAGTCCTGCTTGCCAATTTCAGCACAGGGAGTAGTGCAGGCCTTATTCCAACACACCCGGCCCAGCCTTAACCCCAGAACTCAGCCAGTTTCTTGCTTCCGTGCCCCTGGTTCTCCTCCCCATCGAGCCCACCCCTCCTTTCCCACCTTCAGTCACCCCTAGTGAACTGCCCCAGCGATCTCTGCTGTGCTTGACCCCGAGGGTCTTCCACCCTCGCCCTGACCCTGGACACTGCCCAGCTTGGCCCCCCATCCTGCTCCTGGCACAATGCCCTCTAGCCAGCCAACCTTCCCTCCCCCAACCCTGGGGCCGCCCCAGGGTTCCTGCGCACTGCCTGTTCCTCCTGGGTGTCACTGGCAGCCCTGTCCTTCCTAGAGGGACTGGAACCTAATTCTCCTGAGGCTGAGGGAGGGTGGAGGGTCTCAAGGCAACGCTGGCCCCACGACGGAGTGCCAGGAGCACTAACAGTACCCTTAGCTTGCTTTCCTCCTCCCTCCTTTTTATTTTCAAGTTCCTTTTTATTTCTCCTTGCGTAACAACCTTCTTCCCTTCTGCACCACTGCCCGTACCCTTACCCGCCCCGCCACCTCCTTGCTACCCCACTCTTGAAACCACAGCTGTTGGCAGGGTCCCCAGCTCATGCCAGCCTCATCTCCTTTCTTGCTAGCCCCCAAAGGGCCTCCAGGCAACATGGGGGGCCCAGTCAGAGAGCCGGCACTCTCAGTTGCCCTCTGGTTGAGTTGGGGGGCAGCTCTGGGGGCCGTGGCTTGTGCCATGGCTCTGCTGACCCAACAAACAGAGCTGCAGAGCCTCAGGAGAGAGGTGAGCCGGCTGCAGGGGACAGGAGGCCCCTCCCAGAATGGGGAAGGGTATCCCTGGCAGAGTCTCCCGGAGCAGGTGAGTGAGGGGAGGAGGGTGTCTGGGAGAGGATGGTTAGCATGGGGGGTCTCTGGGCCTCCTGGTCTGCAAAGTTTCAAGGGGGTGCAAGAGAGGGTCTCCGGTTTGGAAGTCAGGGGCGCGGCCATTCCAGGAAAGGAAACTGTTAAAGGTTAATGCTTCTCATACCTAACAAATCCTGGAGGGCAGCCAGCACCAACACTCAGGGTGCTGGGAAAAGGTGCGTGAGAGATCTGAGGCATCTCGGGGGCAGGGGAGGGCTGGGAAGGCAGGCTGGCTGGGACCCTCGCATCTTAACCTAACCTTGACCCTCTTTCCATGAGCAGAGTTCCGATGCCCTGGAAGCCTGGGAGAATGGGGAGAGATCCCGGAAAAGGAGAGCAGTGCTCACCCAAAAACAGAAGAGTGAGGCTTCCAGGGTGCAGCAGGGGTGGGAGGTGATCAAGCAGCGTGGGGATTGTAAGCCCGAGTCAGGGTGAGGGTGGAGGCTGCCAACAGCACAACGGGGGAAAGTGGATGCGGCTGAGATTCCCTCCTTCTCTCCTCAGAGCAGCACTCTGTCCTGCACCTGGTTCCCATTAACGCCACCTCCAAGGGTGAGCACTATTTTAAATAATGGCTTTGGGGAGGGGCAATAACCAGGAACTCGGGCTGGCACTTGGGCTCAAGGGGTCCTTATAGGTGAAAGGGAAAGAACCAAAAAGCACCTGAGAGTGCCAAGAAGTCCTGACCGACACACTCTCACCTCCAGATGACTCCGATGTGACAGAGGTGATGTGGCAACCAGCTCTTAGGCGTGGGAGAGGCCTACAGGCCCAAGGATATGGTGTCCGAATCCAGGATGCTGGAGTTTATCTGCTGTATAGCCAGGTAACCCCAGCCACACTCTGAGCTTCACAGAGGGCCTCTTTGGCCCCCTACTGAGGGTTCCTGACCCCTCTATTCATACCAAACCCAGCAGACCCTTCTTTCTTCCCTCGTTAGCGCTCCTGAGGCCTCCCAGAACTGAGCCAGGCCATCCTGTTTTCTTCAACATCTCCCTTCCCTGCCAGGTCCTGTTTCAAGACGTGACTTTCACCATGGGTCAGGTGGTGTCTCGAGAAGGCCAAGGAAGGCAGGAGACTCTATTCCGATGTATAAGAAGTATGCCCTCCCACCCGGACCGGGCCTACAACAGCTGCTATAGCGCAGGTGAGAGCCGTGTGGGCAGCCGAAAGCAGGACGTCTCTGACCGGGGGTAGCAGTGCAGGGAGCTACCGCTAGGAGGGAGGTTGGAAACCTAAACAGAGGCGGGTCTGAGGAGTGAAGTGCAGAATGCCGGGTCCTTACAGGAGGCAGAGGAACGGTGGAGCTGGAGAAGGCAGGGGGAAACAGGGCATCTGGATGGCTGTGCTTCACTGCGAATCTACTTTCTCTCTTTTCTCAGGTGTCTTCCATTTACACCAAGGGGATATTCTGAGTGTCATAATTCCCCGGGCAAGGGCGAAACTTAACCTCTCTCCACATGGAACCTTCCTGGGGTTTGTGAAACTGTGATTGTGTTATAAAAAGTGGCTCCCAGCTTGGAAGACCAGGGTGGGTACATACTGGAGACAGCCAAGAGCTGAGTATATAAAGGAGAGGGAATGTGCAGGAACAGAGGCGTCTTCCTGGGTTTGGCTCCCCGTTCCTCACTTTTCCCTTTTCATTCCCACCCCCTAGACTTTGATTTTACGGATATCTTGCTTCTGTTCCCCATGGAGCTCCGAATTCTTGCGTGTGTGTAGATGAGGGGCGGGGGACGGGCGCCAGGCATTGTCCAGACCTGGTCGGGGCCCACTGGAAGCATCCAGAACAGCACCACCATCTAGCGGCCGCTCGAGGGAAGCACCCGCCGGTTGGCCGAAGTCCACGAAGCCGCCCTCTGCTAGGGAAAACCCCTGGTTCTCCATGCCACACCTCTCTCCAGGTGCCCTCTGCCTCTTCACCCCACAAGAAGCCTTATCCTACGTCCTTCTCTCCATCTATCGGACCCCAGTTTCCATCACTATCTCCAGAGATGTAGCTATTATGCGCCCGTCTACAGGGGGTGCCCGACGATGACGGTGCCTTCGCAGTCAAATTACTCTTCGGGTCCCAAGGTTTGGCTTTCACGCGCTCCATTGCCCCGGCGTGGCAGGCCATTCCAAGCCCTTCCGGGCTGGAACTGGTGTCGGAGGAGCCTCGGGTGTATCGTACGCCCTGGTGTTGGTGTTGCCTCACTCCTCTGAGCTCTTCTTTCTGATCAAGCCCTGCTTAAAGTTAAATAAAATAGAATGAATGATACCCCGGCTCCATTTCCCCCACTGCCTCGCCTCAGCCCGGTCCTCGTACGGGGATCTCCCGCCCTCCTGGCTCTCCTGTGGCGCGCCCCCCGCCGGATCAAGGTACTGGGGATGCCGCTAGGGTCAGGCCCGCGAGCGCGGAGAAGACAGAGCGCGGCGCAAAAGGGAAAGTGGCGGGGCCGCCACGCGCGGCCGGGCGGCGGATGTGCGCAGGCGCAGCCTCGCGTAGCGCTCTGGGCTGGCCAGTCCCGTGGCGCCGGCGTCCTCGGGTAGACGGGACCGCGCGCTTGGTGGCCGCGCCGGCGCTCTTCGCCGGGTGTGACGTACTAATCGTGCGCCACCGCTGCCGGTGGGCCCGGGGCTCGCGGGAGGGGAAGGAGGAGGGGGGGAGGAGTGGCGGCGGCGGCGGTGGCGCTGGTGGCGGCGGTGGCGGAGGTGGAGGTGGAGGTGGAAGCTGAAGCTGAAGCAGAGCCAGAGGCGGCGCGGCGGGGTGCTCGGCGGCGCGGCACGCGGCCCAGAAGCGTTGGAATCCTGAATTGAGACGGCTGCGCCTAAAGACAGCAGGAGTGGCGGGGCCGCCGCCGTCGCCGGAGAGATGAGCCGGGAAGCTTGAGGCCGGAGACGCCCGCCTTCGGGCCCGTCCGCCCGGCTTCCCCGCTCCCGGTGAGGACGCCCCCTCCCCTCCCCCCAGCCCTGCCTTGGCCTCTCCCATTCCTGGGCCTCGCTCCCACCGAACCGGGGCCCAGAGGCCCGCATAGGGGCTTCTTAAGGCCCGTGTGCGCCGAGCCATCCAAGCTCGTGGGACCGGACTGGTGCCGGGTTGCATTCTGGTCCCCGAGGATGAAGTAGGAGGGGGCTGGGCCGGCCTGGCTTGTGCGCTCCGTTCTGTCCCAGCGTCTTGATTCGGTTCTCTTTAAGTTTCCTTCAAAGTTCTTCCCCGTTTATCAGCCTCTGCCCCCTGAACCATATCCCTGGCATCTGCACTTGAGATGACCGCAGCCTTCCCATGCCCCCCGTTCATCCAGGGTGTTAGAGAACTGTCTCCCATTCCAGTCCAGTTTCCACGTGCAAGTTGCATTCTCCTCAAGTACCACGGTTATCATGTCCCTGAGGAAAGAAACTGCCCTTGTTGGGCCCTCAAAGGACAGCCCTGGTGGTATTAAAATAAAGACGTAGAACCTGGCAGTGCTATTGGGTTTGGCCTGGTGATCTTAGAAATAAGATCTCTGAGGCCTGCTGCTTAGCCATTTTCCCTTGTCTCTGGACTGGGGAGAGATGATGGCACAGACCCTGAAGGGCCCCTTGTGGACCGCGTTAACCGGGAAGATCTTAAGTTAGGAGTTTTGCGTTTTTTCCTCTTTTCTTTATTTGCATCTGAATCCAGAGGAGGCATGGCCAGGAAGAGAGGCAGGATCTGCGGTGGGGTGATGCTTAGATTTTGATACCCTGATCTTTTGTTTTTCAGGGTACTGGAAGATGAAAGAGACTATACAAGGGACCGGGTCCTGGGGGCCTGAGCCTCCTGGACCCGGCATACCCCCAGCTTACTCAAGTCCCAGGCGGGAGCGTCTTCGTTGGCCCCCACCTCCCAAACCCCGACTCAAGTCAGGTGGAGGGTTTGGGCCAGATCCTGGGTCAGGGACCACAGTGCCAGCCAGACGCCTCCCTGTCCCCCGACCCTCTTTTGATGCCTCAGCAAGTGAAGAGGAGGAAGAAGAGGAGGAGGAGGAGGATGAAGATGAAGAGGAGGAAGTGGCAGCTTGGAGGCTGCCCCCAAGATGGAGTCAGCTGGGAACCTCCCAGCGGCCCCGCCCTTCCCGCCCCACTCATCGAAAAACCTGCTCACAGCGCCGCCGCCGAGCCATGAGAGCCTTCCGGATGCTGCTCTACTCAAAAAGCACCTCGCTGACATTCCACTGGAAGCTTTGGGGGCGCCACCGGGGCCGGCGGCGGGGCCTCGCACACCCCAAGAACCATCTTTCACCCCAGCAAGGGGGTGCGACGCCACAGGTGCCATCCCCCTGTTGTCGTTTTGACTCCCCCCGGGGGCCACCTCCACCCCGGCTGGGTCTGCTAGGTGCTCTCATGGCTGAGGATGGGGTGAGAGGGTCTCCACCAGTGCCCTCTGGGCCCCCCATGGAGGAAGATGGACTCAGGTGGACTCCAAAGTCTCCTCTGGACCCTGACTCGGGTAAGGTGGGAAAGGGGTGTGGGGTTGCGGGGGAGGGGTTAGGGAGGGTTAAGAGCCTGGAGCACCAGGAGCCTGTTGCCATGGTGAGAGCTGGGCTTAAGGAAAGTAGGATGGAAGAGTGCCGGCTCCAGAAGAGCTGCGAAATGTCTCCATTAAGCCCCACTTTGAGCAGAAAGTAAGCCTGGGAGTGAGCCTGGCAGTTTCCCAGGCAGAGCTAGGAAACAGATGCCCTAAGTAGGTATCCCGTGGTCTTGAGCGCAGATGAGAAAGGGAGATGTGGTTTACAAAAATCCTGTCCACACGAAATCCCTTGTCGGCCTCTCAGTATAAGAACCCCCGTGTATACATCTCCAGAGGGTACCATTCCCAAAGTGACGGGATGGGATCTCTCCCAGTAGTGGAGTACATCATCTTACAGTTGTGAAAGAATATTTCCCTTTCGGAGAACTCCAGCCAAACAGTTTCAGGCTCTCTAGGTCTTTATTACATATTCTAGTATTCATTGAGCCTTTACAATATGCTGGGTACTATGCTGGGTGTTTGGCATATAGTGGTGACAAATATCCCGAAGTTTTCATTTCTAAATGCTAATCCTTTTTCTTTCTTCCTGTCTATGAGTAGGAACTCTCTCTCCATCCCTGTAGAATCTCTTGGACATGTTTATCTCATGCTTATGGGGTCCCCATTTCTTGGAGTGGGATTGACATTGGTGGATTCTGCTTCAGTGTATCCTTCTTGCGGTCTTATTTGCATGCATGAGTCAACTGTGTGCATCCCATTGTGCTTTCCCCAGGCCAGTCTCTCATGCCCATTCCATTTCCCCTGCCCTATAGGCCTCCTTTCATGTACTCTGCCCAACGGTTTTGGGGGACAATCTGGGCCAGAAGGGGAGCGCAGCTTGGCACCCCCTGATGCCAGCATCCTCATCAGCAATGTGTGCAGCATCGGGGACCATGTGGCCCAGGAGCTTTTTCAGGGCTCAGATTTGGGCATGGCAGAAGAGGCAGAGAGGCCTGGGGAGAAAGCCGGCCAGCACAGCCCCCTGCGAGAGGAGCATGTGACCTGCGTACAGAGTAAGGAGCCCTTAAGCAACTAGCCTCTCTCCCTTCTCCGACTCCTAGAGGAGAGTCTGGAGGCCTCACCCCCTCCTCTCTCCCTTTCCACCAGGCATCTTGGACGAATTCCTTCAAACGTATGGCAGCCTCATACCCCTCAGCACTGATGAGGTAGTAGAGAAGCTGGAGGACATTTTCCAGCAGGAGTTTTCCACCCCTTCCAGGTGAGGCTTGAAAGCCCTCCTTGAAAGAAGGGCTGGGGCCTTGGGGATGTGGAGAGAATACTGCTGCCTTTTCTTCCATAGGGCTGTAGTTGGGGAGGAGGAAGCTAGAGCTGAAGGGGAGGACTCTGCAGGCAGGTGCCAAATCCTTGGAAGCTGATGGGAGAGTCTTTACCTGGGACCCTGAAATGTTCTACCTGAGTAGTCATGTTTATCTTTCTGGGGAGTGGGCCTTTCGCAGGTCCTCAGAAGGACCCATCATGAGCCAGAAAAAAGGGAGTCAGTTAGAATTTGTATTCCAGGGAGTAGTAGGTATTTCTGTGTGCCCCAGCTGCATCATCTTTTGTGTGACTCCACCCTTGGCCTACTCAGGAAGGGCCTGGTGTTGCAGCTGATCCAGTCTTACCAGCGGATGCCAGGCAATGCCATGGTGAGGGGCTTCCGAGTGGCTTATAAGCGGCACGTGCTGACCATGGATGACTTGGGGACCTTGTATGGACAGAACTGGCTCAATGACCAGGTGAGAAAGGGTAGAGAAACAGGCCTGAGAGGGGATTCAGGGAGCAGGGTGTCTGGGGCCCTCTGCATGGGGGAGCCCTGTACCCATGCCGCACCCTCCATGGCAAGCTGCCTCCCATCTTCTCCCCAGGTGATGAACATGTATGGAGACCTGGTCATGGACACAGTCCCTGAAAAGGTAGGCCCAACCAGATAGGTCAGTACCCAGAGGAACTTCTGCAGTTTTAAGCAGCTTTTTAAGCTCCTTTCATCTCTTTCATTTTACACAGAGAGGGTCTCTGTTTCAGGGAGAGAGGTGGTAGTGGTAGTGTATTAATTTCAAATCCGTAATCTTGGGCTCTGGATTTATCAGTTGTTTTCCTTTCTGCCAGTATTTAGTGTTTTTCGCTATGGCCAGCCCCAAGGATTGGGATGGGTTCCTATTGTAACTATTGTAAAACAAGATTTAAAAAAAAAAAGAAAAAGAAAAAGGCCACCGGGCATGGTAGCTCATGCCTGTAATCCCAGCACTCTGGGAGACCAGGGCGGGTGGATCACCTGAGGTCGGGAGTTCAAGACCAGCCTGACCAATATGGAGAAATCCCGTCTCTACTAAAAATACAAAATTAGCCGGGCATGGTGGTGCATGCCTATAATCCCAGTTACTCGGGAGGCTGAGGGAGGAGAACTGCTTGAACCCGTGAGGCGGAGGTTGCGGTGAGTCGAGATCCACGCCATTGCACTCCCGCCTGGGCAACAAGAGCGGAATTCTGTCTCAAAAAAAAAAAAAAAGACAAAAAACAACTTCGGCTGGGTGCGGTGACTCATTCCTGTAATCCCAGCACTTTGGGAGGCCAAGGCGGGTGGATCACCCGAGGTCAGGAGTTCCAGACCAGCCTGGCCAACATGGTGAAACCCTGGCTCAACTAAAAATATAAAAATACAAAAAAGTTAGCTGGGCATAGTGGCGGGTACCTGTAGTCCCAGCTACTCGGGAGGCTGAGGCGGGAGAATCGCTTGAACCCGGGAGGCGGAGGTTGCAGCGAGTCGAAATCATGCCACTGCACTCCAGCGTGGGCGACAGAGCAAGGCCCTGCCTCAAATAAAAAAAAAAAAAAAGCCTGGTTTGTTGACTCATACCTATAATCTCAATGCTCTGGAAGGCCGAGGCAGGCAGACAGACAGATTGAGGCCAGGAGTTTGAGACCAACCTGGGCAACATAGTGAGACCCTGTCTCTACCAAAAAAAAAAGAAAAAACCCAGAATTTGTTTTTACTGTCAGTGGACTGAGGAGGGGAGACTTAGTGGGAGAGTCTGAGGTCTTTTAATTCCATTGAGCTTTTTTGTGTCATTGGCACAGGTGCATTTCTTCAATAGTTTCTTCTATGATAAACTCCGTACCAAGGGTTATGATGGGGTGAAAAGGTGGACCAAAAACGTGAGTTTTGAATTCACATCCACTTGTGTAATGCCTTGCCTCTAAAGAATGAGAGTCTTGTTTTCTCTGAGCCCTTTCCCTGACCGTGTTCATTCAGTCTTTCAAAGATTAAACGTCTCTTGTGTGTGTAGGCACTAAGGATACAGTGTTAAATAAGGAAAACTTGCCCTTAAAGTTAAATTGCAGCTAGTGATAAGTGCTGTGGGCAGATCAACACAGAGTAACGTGAGGCTGGGCGCAGTGGCTCACGCCTGTAATCCCCAGCACTTTGGGAGGCCAACACGGGCGGATCACCTGAGGTCAGGAGTTCGAGACTAGCCTGGCCAACATTGAGAAACCCCATCTCTATTAAAAATACAAAAATTAGCCCTGTGTGATGGCAGGTGGCCTGTAAGCCCAGCTATTCCTGGAGGCGGAGGCAGGAGAATCCCATGAACCTGGGAGGCAGAGGTTGCAGTGAGCCGAGACCCCGCCATTGCACTCCAGCCTGGGCAACAAGAGCAAAACTCCGTCTCAAAAAAAAAAAAAAATCACAGTAATGTCATAGCGTGGGAAGTGGGTACTTTAGATTGGGTGATCTAGGAAGGCCTCTCATAGCTGAGACGTGAATGATGAGCAGCCAGCCATGCGCAGACCTGGGAATAGCAAGTACACAAGACCCATAGTGAAAAACCATGGCTGAGGAACAGAGGGCTTGTGGGGGTGACCTGTGTAGTTGGCGCAGAGTGAGCAAAGGGAGATGGATACAAAATTCGGTCAGAGAGTAGATCATGTAAGACATGTACGGTAGGCTGAGGAGGGGGGATTTTATTGCGTGTATACTGAGAAGCCATTGAGTTTTAAGCAGGCTGAGAAGTGCCTTCTGTTTTAAACTCCTGTTTCAATGACAGATTGAAAGGGGGGCAAGAATGGAAGCAGGAACAGAGCACAGTAGTCCAGGTGAGAAACTTGAACTGGAGTGCTAAAGGAAGAGAGAGAGAGTAGTTTTATGTAGGATAAATTTTACGAGTAAAACCAGTAGGACTGACAGGCTCTGTGATACTGAGAGATACATATTTGGTCTCCTGACCAGGCTCCTGGCATTCAACTTCTAAAATCCTTGGAATCTCCAGTGATGTGTGTTTTTGTGTGCTGATGAGTTGATTCATGGCTAGCCCCTCTAGGTGGCTTCATGATTAGAGGGTTGGAACTTTCAGCCTCACCCCCACCAACTTCCTGGGAGGGGAATGGGGCCAAAGGTTAAGGCAATCACTGAGGATCAGTGATTTAATCAGTCATGCCTAGTAGTGAAGCCTCTAAAAACCGGAAAGGGGCCGGGTGCGGCGGCTCACGCCTGTACTCCCGGCACTTTGGGAGGCTGAGGCAGATGGATCGCAAGGTCAAGAGATTGAGACCAGCCTGGCCGACCTGGCGAAACCCTGTCTCTACTAAAAATATGAAAATTAGCTGGGCGTGGTGGCGTGCGCCTGTAGTCCCCGGGAGGCTGAGGCAGGAGAATCGCTTGAACCCGGGAGGCAGAGGTTGCAGTGAGCCGAGATTGTGCCACTGCACTCCACCCTGGGTGACAGAGTGAAACTCTGTCTCAAAAAAGAAAAAAAAACCCGAGAGGAGGAGTTTGGAGACATTCTAGATAGCTGAAGGCATGGAGGCTCCCACAGGATGGTCTCCAGGCCTCTTCCCGGTACCTTTCCCTGTGCATCTTTTCATCTGTACTCTTTGTACTACCCTTTGTTAATAAACTGGTAAATGTGTTTCCATGAGTTCTGTGAGCTGCTCTAGCAAATTAATCAAATTCAAGGAGGGGGTCATGGGAACGCTGATCTAACCAGTTGGTGAGAAACACAGATAAAACAACCTGGGGCTTAGGACTGGCATCAGAATTGGGGGCAGCCTTGTGAGACTGAGCCCTAAACCTGTGACACATTATCTCCAGGTAGATAGTGTTGGAATTGAATTGGGGGATACCCAGCTGTGTCCACCGCAAAATTGCTTGCTTGGTTGTTGGTGGAGAGAAAGCCCCACAAACACTTCTTGGTGACCACAGGTTACAGAAGTATTTTGTGTTGTGAGAGTATAGTAGGAAAGAAGATTTGTTTTTTTGCCGGGCGCGGTGGCTCACGCCTGTAATCCCAGCCCTTTGGGAGGCTGAGGCGGGCGGATCACCAGGTCAGGAGATCAAGACCATCCTGGCTAACACAGTGAAACCCTGTCTCTACTAAAAATACAAAAAATTAGCCGGGCGAGGTGGCACGTGTCTGTAGTCCAAGCTACTTGGGAGGCTGAGGCAGGAGAATGGCATGAACCCAGGAGGTGGAGCTTGCAGTGAGGCAAGATCACGCCACTGCACTCCAGTCTGGGCAACAGAGCAAGACTCCGTCTCAAAAAAAAAAAAAAGATTTGTTTTTTCCTCCGCAGGTTGGATGTGGGAAATGAAGAAAAAGAAATGGAGGATGATGCCTAGGTTTTTGGCCTATGTAACGGGAAAAGTGGGAGAGGAACAGGTTGGGGGAGGAAAATGAAGAGTTCTTTTCTCTTCTGGTTTCCCTGCCCTCCCATTCAAAGGCCAGGAAATTTCTACAGCTAGGCAGGATGATTGGCTCCGGCATTCCTTAATTTCAGTCCTCAAAATCAAGAGCTTACACCCTCAGGGATCTTCTTGCAGTAGAGGGAAGGGTGGTGACGTACAGTGAAAAACATGTTGGCCTTCTTCATACTGAGTTTGAGTCCCACTTCTGCCATTTCTTTCTTTCATGACCTTGTGCAAGTCACGACTTTCCAAGCTGCAATTTCCTCATCTGTTAGGTTGAATGTTGAGAACTTCCCGGTAGGATTGTTATGAGCATTAACTGCGTGTTTACTTTGTGCTGTGTCTTGTTCTAAGTGTATTATGGATAGTCACTAGTTTAATCCTCATATCAAATGGATGAGGTGTAGGTACTACTATTTACACTCTCTGACAGATAAGGAAACTGAGGTATAGAAGGTTATTAAGTAGGTTGCCCACTGTCATAAGCCAGTAAATGGAGGAGCTGTATTTGAATTCTGGCAGGCTCCAGAATCCTGGGCCTGGGTTCTTAGCTGCTAAGTGCTTCTCCCTTTAAAGTGTGAAAAGCGCCTGCCCATCATGGGTTCTCCAGTGTTCGTTCTGATGTCTCCTCCATTGTCTGACCTTCCTCCCTTACCCCGAAGAACCGAAACATGCAGATCCTGAGCTTGCCCACAATCTAGGCCTTGGGTCTTCTGTTCTTTCACTTGGTTCCCTTACCTGTGTCTCTGTTCCTCTCTAGAACCTTCATGGCAAAAGGCAAGACTTCTGTTTGTTGTACCTGACCTGTGGCACTATCTCTTTAGGTGGACATCTTCAATAAGGAGCTACTGCTAATCCCCATCCACCTGGAGGTGCATTGGTCCCTCATCTCTGTTGATGTGAGGCGACGCACCATCACCTATTTTGACTCGCAGCGTACCCTAAACCGCCGCTGCCCTAAGGTTTGAGGGGGTAGGAGAGAGATGGGCAAAATGTGGGGCGGTGCAGTGGCAAGGCATTGCAGGAAGAAGGGTGGGCTTTGGGTCTTTGAGGGGCGACCTGGGCATGGTGTCTGCCAGCACTGTACCCACCATACTGTGTTCAATTGAGAAACTTAGGGCATCACTTTCTTTTCCCCCATCCACATAGCATATTGCCAAGTATCTACAGGCAGAGGCGGTAAAGAAAGACCGACTGGATTTCCACCAGGGCTGGAAAGGTTACTTCAAAATGGTGAGTTTCCTGAGGGAGGGGTATAGGGTGTTGGTGGGGACAGTGGTAGAAGGCAGAAATTGAAGTCCTACCCCTGGGAGTCTCCATGTGAAGGGCCTGCTTTCTTTCTCTTCTCTAGAATGTGGCCAGGCAGAATAATGACAGTGACTGTGGTGCTTTTGTGTTGCAGGTAAGCAGATGATGGGGCCACCTCCCCTAGCTCTGAAGTCAGTTGGGTTAAAGGGTCGGGAGGCTGTTATGCATCCCCTCATTTGGCTCATAGTCAGTTGTGGAGCAGGAAGTAATCTGTTTTAGAACACCAAAACACTGGCTTCACTGGTTCTCTTCTGGACTTCTCCATCCCACATTGGGACTGGGTCTCTAGTCTTGGGCCTCTGGCCTTCATAGAGCTCCCTGCTAACCTCCAACTCAGTGTATTTTCTCCATCTAAAACATTCTATCAAGTAAGAACACTAGCTTTAGAGTCAGGCTGTTTTTGAACCCCAGGCTGTGGGACCCTGGCTCCCTTTGGGGATGTTCTCTGAAGGATGGAGACACATCTCATATGAAATGTGTAGCACAGGTCCTGACACGGGGGGTTTCTCATGGCTTGCTTTGTTAACACCCAGTACTGCAAGCATCTGGCCCTGTCTCAGCCATTCAGCTTCACCCAGCAGGACATGCCCAAACTTCGTCGGCAGATCTACAAGGAGCTGTGTCACTGCAAACTCACTGTGTGAGCCTCGTACCCCAGACCCCAAGCCCATAAATGGGAAGGGAGACATGGGAGTCCCTTCCCAAGAAACTCCAGTTCCTTTCCTCTCTTGCCTCTTCCCACTCACTTCCCTTTGGTTTTTCATATTTAAATGTTTCAATTTCTGTATTTTTTTTTCTTTGAGAGAATACTTGTTGATTTCTGATGTGCAGGGGGTGGCTACAGAAAAGCCCCTTTCTTCCTCTGTTTGCAGGGGAGTGTGGCCCTGTGGCCTGGGTGGAGCAGTCATCCTCCCCCTTCCCCGTGCAGGGAGCAGGAAATCAGTGCTGGGGGTGGTGGGCGGACAATAGGATCACTGCCTGCCAGATCTTCAAACTTTTATATATATATATATATATATATATATATATATATATATATATATATATATATATATATATATATATATATAAAAATATATAAATGCCACGGTCCTGCTCTGGTCAATAAAGGATCCTTTGTTGATACGTAAGTGGTGGTCTTCCTTAAGGGGCTTCAAATTAGTGGATATGCTTAGCTCAGACCTTCCAGCCAGTCTCTTGAGACTAAAGGGTTCAGCTTTCCATCCCTGGCTCAGGCACTGCCAACACCTTGTCTTCACCCAAACAAATCCCCGAGATGGGAGCAGAGAGCAGGAAGGAGGGAAAGTAGATAAGCCTCAAGAATAAGGGCATCCGAGAGGGAAGCTGGGGAACTGGACACAAGGGACTGGGGAGGGGACCAACCAGGATTCATGATAGTACCCCAAAGCCCTTTACAGTTTTCTTCCATCCCTCCACCATCCAGCCAGGGGAATCCTCCCATCCCTACGATATCGCTGTTGATTCCTTCATCCCTGGCACACGTCCAGGCAGTGTCGAATCCATCTCTGCTACAGGGGAAAACAAATAACATTTGAGTCCAGTGGAGACCGGGAGCAGAAGTAAAGGGAAGTGATAACCCCCAGAGCCCGGAAGCCTCTGGAGGCTGAGACCTCGCCCCCCTTGCGTGATAGGGCCTACGGAGCCACATGACCAAGGCACTGTCGCCTCCGCACGTGTGAGAGTGCAGGGCCCCAAGATGGCTGCCAGGCCTCGAGGCCTGACTCTTCTATGTCACTTCCGTACCGGCGAGAAAGGCGGGCCCTCCAGCCAATGAGGCTGCGGGGCGGGCCTTCACCTTGATAGGCACTCGAGTTATCCAATGGTGCCTGCGGGCCGGAGCGACTAGGAACTAACGTCATGCCGAGTTGCTGAGCGCCGGCAGGCGGGGCCGGGGCGGCCAAACCAATGCGATGGCCGGGGCGGAGTCGGGCGCTCTATAAGTTGTCGATAGGCGGGCACTCCGCCCTAGTTTCTAAGGATCATGTCTGCGAGCCAGGATTCCCGGTAAGAAAGGCATTTGCAAGAGATTGTGGCTGCTTATTTTGCCGCCCCCTTCCGACGGGCCCGCCGGGGGTAGCTGAGAGGCCCACCAGGGTTGCGGGAGAAACCGAACCGGGTGGGGGGAGGGTCCGACTTGGAGGGGCGAGGGGGAAGACCCACGGCCGACGCGGCCACCAGGTCGAGGCGGAGGGTAGGGACAGCCCGGCTAGGGTCAGGCGTGCGAGGTCTGTTACGAGGCCTCGACCCGAGGCGGTGCCATGCGCGAAGCCCCGGCGCTGAGTGGCGAGACGGGGTCGCGACCTGGCGTGGGAAAGAAAGGTGGAGGCGGCCGCCACTATGTGTGGCCCAGAGCCGGCAGGTCCGGTTGCCTCCCTGTGCCGGGGGAGGGACGGCGCGCGGGGTTCCGGAGCATTCTGACGGTACCACTCGCGAGAGGCGGGGGTGCCTGGTCCTTAGATCCAGTCACTTCGTCGCGGCTAAAACACGGGTCGGGGAGAAGAAACCGGCCGTTCAGTGTGCTGGTTTTCTTGACGGCCAGGACTGAGCCTAACCCCGAGGAGCGGCCGCGTGAGGCACCAGGAGCCCACCCGGCGCCGGGCGGGCGGGTCCATTTTGCCGCACAAGCCGGGCTATTGGCAAACTGCGGATGGGCAGGTCCACCTTCCTTCGGGGGTGAGCGGCCTGAGGTATGGGAGGGCGACGCTACTTCGCGACGGGGGCGGGCGGGATGTGGATTGTTCATGGAGGGGTGGGAGACGCCGCCGGGTGGTCGAGGGAGCGAGCACATGGTGGCCTGAGGCGTTCCCCTCCCCCAGTCTGCTTCGCTTCTAAGTGTTGTGCAATCTCCCCCTTTGCTAGCTCGGCTTGGGCTCATTGTGCGCGAGGCCGCCACCGCCCGCGGCCTCCCACATCCGGGCAACGCGAGGGGGGGGCTTCGGCTGGAGGGAGTGGGGGAGGGCGCGGGCGGGATGACGTGGGGGGAAGGGGATGTCCTACCCTCCGATCTGGGAGGTGAAGGGCGGGACTTCCAGCGCGCTGGTGCTGCGGTGGGAGGTGCACGCGCTTGGGCTTTAAGCGGCTGGGTCGGGCCCACGTGGACCCGGCGGCAAGCACCACCTCTGGGCACCGTGAGCGCGGCGGCACGCCTGCCGGCCTGTCTTCAGAAAGGGTCACCCCCTTATGTCGGGGGTGGCCTGGCCTGAGCCGCTGCCTGCATGGGGCAAATGCCTCAGTTTTATAGAAACTCCTCCTTTGGGTATTTTTTGGGAGCTGGTGGGAGTTGGATCTGGGACAGCAGATTGATGGCATCATGCAGGCCACTCCTGACAGAGCCCGGCTGTCAGGATTTCTGAGTGCTTCGGTCGGGCAGGGGACAAAACTTATGCTTTAAACCAACAGATCCAGAGACAATGGCCCCGATGGGATGGAGCCCGAAGGCGTCATCGAGGTGAGACTGGAGAAATGGAATTCTGTCCTCCCCCATTACAACTTTCAGCCGTATAGAGTTAGAGTGGCCTCTTGATTGATTTCCCAGATCATCTAGAAGCAGCTGGTTTCCCTAAAGGGAGGAGGGTTGTAAGCTCTGAGGCTTTTGTTAGTAGGCACCAGATTCTGTTTGCTCGGAGACTACAGCTCAGCTCCACCTTTTCCATGACTCAAGCTTTAATTTCTTTGCATCCCCTAGAGTAACTGGAATGAGATTGTTGACAGCTTTGATGACATGAACCTCTCGGAGTCCCTTCTCCGTGGCATCTACGCGTATGGTTTTGAGAAGCCCTCTGCCATCCAGCAGCGAGCCATTCTACCTTGTATCAAGGGTGAGACCTCTCAGTCCCAGAAGACATTGTGGACTGTCCCTGACCTGGGTAGAGTGGCATCTGGTTGGTGATGCCCATCTCATATCAGCCAGGGACAAAGCAACTCCTTGTTCATCCCAGCTTGGCTTTTGATCCGTGCCCATGCCTGGTTCATGCCTTGGACACATAGGTTTCCTTTAAAGAGGTGGTATTGTAGCCAGCTTATATTTGCATCTACAGCCATGTTTCTAGTCCAGCTTGGTGTGCAATACTAGATGAGTTAATAACTGGTCCTTGTTTCTGATCTGGTTCCCATTGTGTAACTGTGTTGATTGGGAAGGTAGTTTGTGAGCCATGAAATGCTTGGTTCATTGGTTGCTTATTGACCTCATTAACCTAGGACTTGAATATCCCAAAGGGTATGCTCTTTACCACATTCAACTCCTAATTTATTTGTTTAGGTTATGATGTGATTGCTCAAGCCCAATCTGGGACTGGGAAAACGGCCACATTTGCCATATCGATTCTGCAGCAGATTGAATTAGATCTAAAAGCCACCCAGGCCTTGGTCCTAGCACCCACTCGAGAATTGGCTCAGCAGGTAAGAGTGGCTTCTATTCCCTCCTTCAGGGCTGATTTAGGGATGATGAGTATAATCCAAGGACCAGAGAAGTCTTCTCTGATCACCACCTTGGGAGGAAGACATGGGTGCCCTAACACTCTCGAGACCTGCTGGGTTAATTAAAAGCTATTTCTTACCCAAACGTAACCATTGCTTCCTCCACCCATTTCCTGAGTCAAATGGGAAAGCTGTTGGGTGAAGCCTGGCTGGCTGGGCAAGTTTGACTGTGTTCTGAATAAGCACCTTCACTATGGGCTAAGAGATCCCTTGGTGTGGGGGTGATCTTACAGTAGTCAGAGCAGATGGACAGTCCTTTTCACCCTTGCTTAATAGCCAGAGCTGTTTCATGCCTGGGGCACACACAATTCTAATGCTGGACTTTTTCCTGGGTCATGCTGCAACACTGATGTCAGAGCATGTTTTTAAATGTTCTGTGGCAGGGGCAGTGATTATTCTGGGTGTGGATAATGTAAGAAGTTACAGCAGAGCTCCATTCTAAGGCACTTGGCTCTCAGTTTTCTCAGAGTGAACATGCCTCGTAGCTTGGGTCCTATGGCAGGAGTGCAATAGGACATGGATATGCATCACCTGTTCTATAAAACTGGTTGCTGGCTGGGTGTGGTGGCTCAACTCGTATAATCCCAACACTTTGGGAGGCCAAGGCAGGCAGATCTCTTGAGATCAGGAGTTGGAGACCAGCCTGGCCAACATAGTGAAACCCCGCTTCTACTAAAAATACAAAAATTAGCCAGGCATGGTGGCGTGTGCCTTTTATCCCAGCTACTCGGGAAGCTCAGGCAGGAGAATTTAACCCAGGAGGTGGAGGTTGCAGTGAGCTGAGATTGTGCCATTGCACTCCAGCCTGGGCAACGAGCAAAGCTCTGTCTCAAAAAAAGAAAAAAAAAATGGTTGCTGCGTGATGAGGCAGTTGGTCAAATTAGTTTTCAGAAGGTTAAGGGTTCTAAATATCTAGAGTAAAGAAACTGAATTAATTATCTGAGCGGCCTCATTGTGAATCACTGTACACTCAGGAACCAGACTGAGTTGAAATCCTGTCTTTGCCACCTATTGACAGCACGATCTTAAGTGGATTTTAGCCTCTGCCTGTTTCTCAGCTGAATGTGAGTTTAATAATAGTGCATGCCCCAAAGTTGTTGGTTAGGAATCAATACATGAAAAACATTTAAGAATGGTGCCGGGCACAGTGGTAACTGACATATGAGCACCTGCCTCTCTCTGCTCAGATACAGAAGGTGGTCATGGCACTAGGAGACTACATGGGCGCCTCCTGTCACGCCTGTATCGGGGGCACCAACGTGCGTGCTGAGGTGCAGAAACTGCAGATGGAAGCTCCCCACATCATCGTGGGTACCCCTGGCCGTGTGTTTGATATGCTTAACCGGAGATACCTGTGTGAGTAATTCGGTTCTCCAATCCCCTGGGTCACTTTGCTCTTGTGCACGCTTTCCAGTCTTTCAGCGTAAGCCAGAGTCATTCCCAAGGATGCTGGTTTCTCTCTGGGGGAAGAGCTGCTCTGTGATGGAGCCCATGCGTGTCATCTGAGCCTCTGGCTTCCCTGCCAGTGCAGCCCTGGCAGTGTCCTACTTCCCAGGGCTGTTGTCTGCCTGGCGGGAAGGTCCTGGGCAAAGGATCAGTCTTTGTACTCTGAGAGCAGACTACTTGGCTCCTCTCTGTTTTTTATCAGCGAAGTTGGATATATCTCTCCCACATTTCCCTAATCATATGCTATATATTGGCTTTTTTTTTCTTCTCTAGCCCCCAAATACATCAAGATGTTTGTACTGGATGAAGCTGACGAAATGTTAAGCCGTGGATTCAAGGACCAGATCTATGACATATTCCAAAAGCTCAACAGCAACACCCAGGTGAGGGCAGTCTTGCTTGAATAGCTAATGATTCTTGAAAAATAGTAAGTGCCAGGGGAACCATATACTGGATTCTTGAGCCTTTTTATGCATCTGCTTCAGTTTTAGGTGTGGCTAGGGAAGGGAGCAGGCCTCAGGAAGGAACCAGCACTCTAAGACTGGCCTTTTTTTCCACTAGGTAGTTTTGCTGTCAGCCACAATGCCTTCTGATGTGCTTGAGGTGACCAAGAAGTTCATGAGGGACCCCATTCGGATTCTTGTCAAGAAGGAAGAGTTGACCCTGGAGGGTATCCGCCAGTTCTACATCAACGTGGAACGAGAGGTGGGGCCCAGTGCAGGAGGCGGGCCTGGTAGTGAGTTGTTGGGTATAGCCCCTGACTGATTTTTGTCCCCCAACCTCCAGGAGTGGAAGCTGGACACACTATGTGACTTGTATGAAACCCTGACCATCACCCAGGCAGTCATCTTCATCAACACCCGGAGGAAGGTGGACTGGCTCACCGAGAAGATGCATGCTCGAGATTTCACTGTATCCGCCATGGTGTGTTTGCCCGCTGCCAGCCTGTTGTGGGTCTGCCCGTCAGAAGTGTCCTACTTGAAGCCAGGGTTCCTGGAACCCAGGTGCCTACCTGGTCTGCTGCATATTTGTTTTCTCTTCCAGCATGGAGATATGGACCAAAAGGAACGAGACGTGATTATGAGGGAGTTTCGTTCTGGCTCTAGCAGAGTTTTGATTACCACTGACCTGCTGGTGAGTAGAGGGAACTGATAGCAAAGGCAGAAGGGAGGATCCAAGGTGATTCCCTCTCCAAGGGGACATCAGTGCCTCTCAGGAAAGTAGCAGCTTGGAATAGAATCTGGCATGCCTAAGGCCTTTGGGGAACTGGGATGCTTATTTCCTCTGCCTTCCTTGGCTGCCCACATGGATGCCTAAGTGTCTTCCCTCCGGGATAGAGTGTCCTCCGTGCACATGCTGAAGAGTTGTCTTTCTTGACGTAGGCCAGAGGCATTGATGTGCAGCAGGTTTCTTTAGTCATCAACTATGACCTTCCCACCAACAGGGAAAACTATATCCACAGGTAAGCGTAGATCTGGAACACTCCCCTACCCCTTCACACCTGGCCCTCCCTGGGCTTAAAGCTCCTGATATTCCTCATCCCCTTCCTTGTTTTCCAGAATCGGTCGAGGTGGACGGTTTGGCCGTAAAGGTGTGGCTATTAACATGGTGACAGAAGAAGACAAGAGGACTCTTCGAGACATTGAGACCTTCTACAACACCTCCATTGAGGAAATGCCCCTCAATGTTGCTGACCTCATCTGAGGGGCTGTCCTGCCACCCAGCCCCAGCCAGGGCTCAATCTCTGGGGGCTGAGGAGCAGCAGGAGGGGGGAGGGAAGGGAGCCAAGGGATGGACATCTTGTCATTTTTTTTCTTTGAATAAATGTCACTTTTTGAGGCAAAAGAAGGAACCGTGAACATTTTAGACACCCTTTTCTTTGGGGTAGGCTCTTGCCCCAGGCGCCGGCTCTTCTCCCAAAAAAAAAAAAAAAACACTAATCCATTTCCCTAACCTAGTAACCTCCAGATCCCAGAGGCTCTCCTCACCTCAGCTGAGCTCCTTTGAAAGTGATTCAAGGGACTATGTCACTCAGCCTCATTTGCTGGACCAAATCTGGAGGGAGAACCCCTAAAACCCCTAAGTGAGGTTGCCCAGGGGGTTGTCCCCAGGTGGGGGGAAGCAGGGGAGAGAAAATGGTAGCCATTTTTACATTGTTTTGTATAGTATTTATTGATTCAGGAAACAAACACAAAATTCTGAATAAAATGACTTGGAAACTGCCTGTTTGGGCTTCTCATTTCTTACCTCCCCTTCCCTCTCCCACCTGCTACTGGGTGCATCTCTGCTCCCCCCTTCCCCAGCAGATGGTTACCTTTGGGCTGTTGCTTTCTTGTCACCATCTGAGTTCTCAGACGCTGGAAAGCCATGTTCTCGGCTCTGTGAATGACAATGCTGACTGGAGTGCTGCCCCTCTGTAAAGGGCTGGGTGTGGATGGTCACAAGCCCCTCACATGCCTCAGCCAAGAGGAAGTAGTACAGGGGTCAGCCCAGAGGTCCAGGGGAAAGGAGTGGAAACCGATTTCCCCACCAAGGGAGGGGCCTGTACCTCAGCTGTTCCCATAGCTACTTGCCACAACTGCCAAGCAAGTTTCGCTGAGTTTGACACATGGATCCCTGTGGATCAACTGCCCTAGGACTCCGTTTGCACCCATGTGACACTGTTGACTTTGCCCTGATGAAGCAGGGCCAACAGTCCCCTAACTTAATTACAAAAACTAATGACTAAGAGAGAGGTGGCTAGAGCTGAGGCCCCTGAGTCAGGCTGTGGGTGGGATCATCTCCAGTACAGGAAGTGAGACTTTCATTTCCTCCTTTCCAAGAGAGGGCTGAGGGAGCAGGGTTGAGCAACTGGTGCAGACAGCCTAGCTGGACTTTGGGTGAGGCGGTTCAGCCATGAGGCTGGCTGTGCTTTTCTCGGGGGCCCTGCTGGGGCTACTGGCAGGTAAGGAGGAAGGAGGCTGAGGGGAGGGGGCCCCTGGGAGGGAGCCTGCCCTGGGTTGCTAACCATCTCCTCTCTGCCAAAAGCCCAGGGGACAGGGAATGACTGTCCTCACAAAAAATCAGCTACTTTGCTGCCATCCTTCACGGTGACACCCACGGTTACAGAGAGCACTGGAACAACCAGCCACAGGACTACCAAGAGCCACAAAACCACCACTCACAGGACAACCACCACAGGCACCACCAGCCACGGACCCACGACTGCCACTCACAACCCCACCACCACCAGCCATGGAAACGTCACAGTTCATCCAACAAGCAATAGCACTGCCACCAGCCAGGGACCCTCAACTGCCACTCACAGTCCTGCCACCACTAGTCATGGAAATGCCACGGTTCATCCAACAAGCAACAGCACTGCCACCAGCCCAGGATTCACCAGTTCTGCCCACCCAGAACCACCTCCACCCTCTCCGAGTCCTAGCCCAACCTCCAAGGAGACCATTGGAGACTACACGTGGACCAATGGTTCCCAGCCCTGTGTCCACCTCCAAGCCCAGATTCAGATTCGAGTCATGTACACAACCCAGGGTGGAGGAGAGGTAAAGCTAAAACTGGGGGATGAGAGGGGAGGGAGGCAGGACTGGATATAGGCTCAGAGGGAAGAAGGAAGAGGGGACAGGGAACCTTGGCCGGCATCGCATGCAGTCTTGTGACCTTCCAGTCTTTAACTTCCGCAGGCCTGGGGCATCTCTGTACTGAACCCCAACAAAACCAAGGTCCAGGGAAGCTGTGAGGGTGCCCATCCCCACCTGCTTCTCTCATTCCCCTATGGACACCTCAGCTTTGGATTCATGCAGGTATAGCCATGACCTCAGTCTCACCCCTCACTCAGCCTCCCGGCGCCCCTCCCCTCCCAATCCCACACGCTACTCCTTCCTCTGTGGAGAGGGATACCACCTGCGCCTTCCTCTTCGCCCCACAGGACCTCCAGCAGAAGGTTGTCTACCTGAGCTACATGGCGGTGGAGTACAATGTGTCCTTCCCCCACGCAGCACGTAAGTAACCTCCTTCCCTTTCTCATTGCTACCACTAGACGCCAGGGTTCCTGAAAGGACTAAGCTGGGGCCAGGGAGGTGGATAGGATCTGACCCTTCCTCACTCCTCCAGAGTGGACATTCTCGGCTCAGAATGCATCCCTTCGAGATCTCCAAGCACCCCTGGGGCAGAGCTTCAGTTGCAGCAACTCGAGCATCATTCTTTCACCAGCTGTCCACCTCGACCTGCTCTCCCTGAGGCTCCAGGCTGCTCAGCTGCCCCACACAGGGGTCTTTGGGCAAAGTAAGACCTACCTACTCCTTCCCTCCTAGAATCCTCCCACTGCACTGAAAACCCCTTCCCCAGGCCCATAAGCCACTCATCTCTCTTCTTAACCCCCCAAATCTCGCTCTCCCAGCTTGTCATGGCTACAGGGCAGCTTTCTTTCCATCCTCTACAAGACTCTGCCAGTTTCCCCCTTTTATCACTGCTGAGTCACTGCGGTGAGCTCCTCACCAATCTCCTACTCCCCAGCATCCCCCCATTCCCTCCTCCCACCTTTATCCCAACCAGCACGTCACTGCAAATACCTACCTGCCCTATCCTTCCGCCAGGTTTCTCCTGCCCCAGTGACCGGTCCATCTTGCTGCCTCTCATCATCGGCCTGATCCTTCTTGGCCTCCTCGCCCTGGTGCTTATTGCTTTCTGCATCATCCGGAGACGCCCATCCGCCTACCAGGCCCTCTGAGCATTTGCTTCAAACCCCAGGGCACTGAGGGGGTTGGGGTGTGGTGGGGGGGTACCCTTATTTCCTCGACACGCAACTGGCTCAAAGACAATGTTATTTTCCTTCCCTTTCTTGAAGAACAAAAAGAAAGCCGGGCATGACGGCTCATGCCTGTAATCCCAGCACTTTGGGAGGCTGAGGCAGGTGGATCACTGGAGGTCAGGAGTTTGAGACCAGCCTGGCCAACATGGTGAAACCCTGTCTCTACTAAAAATACAATTAGCCAGGTGTGGCGGCGTAATCCCAGCTGGCCTGTAATCCCAGCTACTTGGGAGGCTGAGGCAGAACTGCTTGAACCCAGGAGGTGGAGGTTGCAGTGAGCCGTCATCGCGCCACTAAGCCAAGATCGCGCCACTGCACTCCAGCCTGGGCGACAGAGCCAGACTGTCTCAAATAAATAAATATGAGATAATGCAGTCGGGAGAAGGGAGGGAGAGAATTTTATTAAATGTGACGAACTGCCCCCCCCCCCCCCCCAGCAGGAGAGCAGCAAAATTTATGCAAATCTTTGACGGGGTTTTCCTTGTCCTGCCAGGATTAAAAGCCATGAGTTTCTTGTCACATGCCTTTCTATGCCTTCCATGGCTGGGTCTCAGGGAGCCGGAAGCAGCTGCTGAGGAGGGATGAAAATGTCAGTGTGTGACGATGCCTCATGGGTTCACCCCCCAAAGCCTGGCACAGCTGGTGTTGGGTCTGCCGTGCCTCCCTTCCTTCCTCCTCTTGGGGCCACTGGCTGCTCCAGTTCCCCATCCGTGGCAAGCCGGTAGAGCCATTCATCCCCGCAGCCTTCTTCCTGACCCTCGTACAGTTTCAAATGCAGCAGACAGCCAAAGCAATGAGTGGGGGGCTGTGGAACTTCATTCCCAAAGGCAGCGCCAGTGGCTCCTGAGCAATGAGAATGTCCTGTCCTGTCCACCATATTCAAGGCCAGCAGAAGAGCCCGATTAAACCCTCGCAGCACCTGGCATGCTCCTATCCCACCTACAAGGGGTTGAATCAAGAAGGAGCAGTGGGTACTCTGACCTCCACTGGGGGCTCCTGGGAACAGCATGCCCCCCACACGGGGCCACCTGCCAAGCCTAACTTCATGCCCCCAGTACTTGAGATGAGGAGTGTCACTCTCAGGACAGCCAAGGTCCAGATTCCAGAAAGGACCTCCCAGATGGCCACAGCCTGCACCAGCAGTGAGCGCCAGTCCCACCCATTACAGCTGGCTACGGCGCAATCCCTGGGAGCCAGGATGAGCAGCACCCCCCAGCCGTAGGAGCCCCAGGAGGCTTCCGGCCTCCAAGGCCCAGAGACTGCCCCACAAGGGCAGCCCTCACCTGGCAGGGCCCCAGCAGCCCCACCTCTGCCTGCAGACATCCGTGTGACCTTGTAGACTTTGGAGGGGGGCCGCCAAAGGGCTGATCCACAGCGGAATGACGCACGGGTGGGCACCGTGGGTTGGCGTCCCGGCGGTCGGTAACGAAGCACAACGCCCCCACCAGGTAGTCCAAGGTGCCCTTTCCCAAGCAGCGCTGCAGGGTCCACTCGGCCTCGCCGAAGTCTCTGCCCAGCACGTGGTGCGCCCTCGGGCCAGCGGGGAGGGGGCGAATCCCGGGACTGCCTCGCCAGGCCTCGGCTCCCCGGAGACTCTTGGGGGTCTGGGCCCCAAGGGTGATTCAGGTGCTGCCCTTCCCCGACCTGGGCTCGCCTCCCCCACCTCCTCCTCTGCTTCACTGTCCCGGGCCCAGCAGTTGCCGGCGCACTCATGCTCCGAGGCCTGAGCCAACCGGAGGCGAGACAAGCACAGGGCCCTGCGCGCAACCCGGCACCTAAGGAGGCCTGCCCGGTGCAGACTCTCCTGCTCCCACCGGCGCCCTTCCCTCTAGAGACGCTGAGAGAACGGGAGCTAGTAGCGCCCCCACCCAACGCCACCTCGGAGACTCCGGCTCCTTCTCTCTCAACTTCGAACAATACAAAGTGTGCTAGGAGAAGACAAGATGGCGCCCAGCAGGAGGAGCGGAGAAAGGCAGGGGTGTAAATCTGGCTTCCAAACTGGAAGCGTCAACAAAGGCGTGGGAGGTCTAACCGCGCAGGCGTGCAGCTTCGGCAAGCTTTACAATTCCAACAGCGCGTCCAAAACGTGGTCCCTGACTGAGACTTATTTTACGCCACTAGAGTGAGGGTGGGTAGCGTCAGAAAGAGCGGGGCACGGGGCGGGCCAGCTTCGCCGCGGGAAAAGAACGGGAGGCGGAGTGTCCGCAGCGCGCACGCGCAACGAAAGTCAATGGCGGTCTGGAGAGACTGGCGGAAGCTAGCTTTGCAATATGGCGGCCGAGGCGGACGGACCGCTTAAACGGCTGCTCGTGCCGATTCTTTTACCTGAGAAATGCTACGACCAACTTTTCGTTCAGTGGGACTTGCTTCACGGTGAGTTTTATTCAGCATCCGATCCAAGTCCTACTCGAGTGACCGTGGGCCCTTAGTCCAAGCCTTGATCGGCGACTAAGTGACGGCAGTGACTGCCGCCATGCCGAGCTGGACGGAAGTCACTTCTGAGAAGGGCGGAAGTGTCTCGGGCTCCTTAGAGGGAGGACACCATATTAGTGCCAGTGGGGAAGTCACCGGGTGGAATTACTTCTTTGTGGAGTTTGTGCTGTAGCGACAATGAAAAACGAAGAGTCAACTTTTATAAAACAAAATAAAAATTAAGTCAAATCATGCCAACCTTTATTAGATCGCTAGCAGGGTTAAACTTAATTCAAAGCCCCTGATGAATCGGGCCTTCATTGCACCCCCAAAGGCTCCGCCACCCTGATTGCTTTCTTTCCAGCCTCCAGGTTTGCTCATAGTCTGATTTCGGAATAATTTGCCTCCCTTCCTTTTTCTGATTGCGAGACAGCTCCACAAGGGTCACCGTCAGACCGTTTGGGGAGCGTCAGTCTGCCCCTGTCAGTTCATGGTACCTCTCTTGAGCTCGTGGGGCACTTTGTTTTAGCCGCATTCATGACCCGTGAGAGTCAGACTCCCACTAGACCAAGTTCCTTGAGGGGAAGGCTTCAAGGCTAGAGAAGTTGTGGATGGCCAGGGCATAAAAGCAAGCCTTGAAAGGGTAAGGTTTAGTCCCTGAGTAGGGGCCAGGGACAGTCAGAGTGTTCAAGAAAGAGTGGTATGGGGCGGGCACGGTGGCTCACGCCTGTAATCCCAGCACTTTGGGAGGCCGAAGCGGGTGGATCACCTGAGGTCAGGCGTTCGAGACCAGCCTGGCCAATAGGGCGAAACCCCGCCTCTACTAAAAATACAAAAAATTAGCCGGGCGTTGTGGCAGGCGCCTGTAATCCCAGCTACTCGGGAGGCTGAGGCAGGAGAATCGCTTAAACCCGGGAGACAGAGGTTACAGTGAGCCAAGATCGTGCCATTGCACTCCAGCCTGGGCAACAAGAGTGAAACTCCGTCTCAAAATTAAAATAAGAAAAAAAAAATGGTATGAAGACTTGTCTTTGGAGAGAGAAGACATGTGAAATGGGGCACCCATTGGCCCAGAGAAGGGAAATAAAGGATCAGAGAGCTCTTGGGCATTTCTCAGCTTTATATGGGGAAGCAATGGAGAGCCGTGGAGGTCAAGCCAAGTTTGGGTGTTAATTTATAGGGAATGGAAGATTGGATGTGGGGGGTGGTAGGCATCGGAGAAAAGCTGTTTTGGAAAGTAACAGTCTGGGGCCCGGTGCGGTAGCTCGAGCTTATAATCCCAGCACTTTAAGGAGGCTGAGGCAGGTGGATCATCTGAGGTCAGGAGTTCGAGACCAGCCTGGCCAACATGGTGAAACCCTGTCTCTACTAAAAACACAAAAATTAACCGGGCATGGTGGTGTGTGCCTGTAATTCTAGCTACTTGGGAGGCTGAGACAAGAGAATTGCTTGAACCCAAGAGGCAGAGGCTGCAGTGGGCTGAGATTGGGCCACTGCACTCCAGCCTGGGTGACAGAGCAAGACTCTGTCTCCAAAAAAAAAAAAAAGTGTGGTGGTTTGGAGCAGGAAGGACCAGGACTTTCTCACTGCCCTCCGCCTCTCCTCCCCCCAAGACAATGCAAGACCCTGGTGTGGGTAAGGGGGCTCGGGGAGAGCCCACAGGAGCTTCAAGCCCTGGCCTGGGTTTCAGACATCTCCTGTCTGCTTACCCTTTTTTCTCTCCTCAGTCCCCTGCCTCAAGATTCTCCTCAGCAAAGGCCTGGGGCTGGGCATTGTGGCTGGCTCACTTCTAGGTATGTCTCTTATCTTTCTTTCCAGCTGTTGGGTTGGGGTGGAGGTGCTGAGAGGCCATCAACTGTGTGGGTGTTCGTTCTATAGCTGTTGTGTTGCATCCCAAAGAATGGAGAGTCCTCAGTCCTACTTTTCTCATCTTTCCCCTAGTAAAGCTGCCCCAGGTGTTTAAAATCCTGGGAGCCAAGAGTGCTGAAGGGTTGAGTCTCCAGTCTGTAATGCTGGAGCTAGTGGCATTGACTGGGACCATGGTCTACAGCATCACTAACAACTTCCCATTCAGGTGAGGGGCCCACCCTTCCACCCCAAGGGTAATACCCACAACTCTAATGGGGATTAAGGTGAAGGAGGTTACAAGGCAGCAAAGTGGCCGGGCCCAGTGGCTTGCACCTGTAACCCCAGCACTTTGGGAGGCCGAGGCGGGTGGATCACCTGAGGTCAGGAGTTCGAACTGGCCAACATGGTGAAACCCCGTCTCTACTAAAAATACAAAATTAGCTGGGTGTGGTGATGGGCACCTGTAATCCCAGCTACTTGGGAGGCTGAGGCAGGAGAATCACTTGAACCTGGGAGGCAGAGGTTGCAGTGAGCCAAGATTGCGCCACTGCACTCCAGCCTGGGCAACAAGAGCGAAACTCAGTCTTAAAAAAAAAAAAAAGGGACAAGGGGCTAGGAAAGTTTTAAGCCCTTTTAGAAACCTAATCATCACCAGTGGAGGTGATCTTGAGAAGGGGTGAGCATCCCGAGAATGGCCACGATTCAGAATGAGCCAGTCCCGTGTGGGGGCTGTAGAGAAGCGTGATCAGAGCATAGTGTCCCTGGATGGATGGGCTATGGAGGCTTTCCCTGCCTCTTTCTAGGCCCGCCTTTCTTCCTCCCAACTCTTGACTCTGCAGCTCTTGGGGTGAAGCCTTATTCCTGATGCTCCAGACGATCACCATCTGCTTCCTGGTCATGCACTACAGAGGACAGACTGTGAAAGGTGCTGGGGACTTACCCAAGAGCAGGCTGTGTGGTTCCTGGGAACCCTGCTGGGAACTCAGGTCTGGGAAAGCCAAATGATGTGGAGAGATTGACAAGGACTCCTGTCTCCCCACCCCTAGGTGTCGCTTTCCTCGCTTGCTACGGCCTGGTCCTGCTGGTGCTTCTCTCACCTCTGACGCCCTTGACTGTAGTCACCCTGCTCCAGGCCTCCAATGTGCCTGCTGTGGTGGTGGGGAGGGTGGGTACCAGGAGCAAGGGACAAGATGTTGTGGGGGCAGGGTGGGGGGGAAGAGTAGAAGATCAAAGTGTGGGGGTGTTGTACTTGGGGGAGCATGGGAAGAGCTCAGGTGACAGAGCCAAAGGTCTCAACTCCTCCCCTAGCTTCTCCAGGCAGCCACCAACTACCACAACGGGCACACAGGCCAGCTCTCAGCCATCACAGTCTTCCTGCTGTTTGGGGGCTCCCTGGCCCGAATCTTCACTTCCATTCAGGTGAGTGCAACATCTTCCTTCTAGAAGGCACTAAAACCTCGTCTTACTTCTCCCAGCTAAGGGCCAAAGCTGCCCCGTGAGGAACCTTTGTCCATAAGGGAACCTTTCTTGAGCTATGCTGAAGGGTAACCCTGGCTCTGTCTCTTGCAACCAGGAAACCGGAGATCCCCTGATGGCTGGGACCTTTGTGGTCTCCTCTCTCTGCAACGGCCTCATCGCCGCCCAGCTGCTCTTCTACTGGAATGCAAAGCCTCCCCACAAGCAGAAAAAGGCGCAGTAGAGCCAGCTACTGGAGTCATTCCGTTTCCACTCATTCACCCAACCTCAGGGTTCTCCCCATCTGAGCCAGCCTGCTGGTGTGACTTACTCATCCTCCATTCCTCTGCACTTGCAGACTTTCTGAGCCAGGGTTTTCTTTTAGTGGAAACAAATGGTTGATGGATCCAGATCCTTAGAAAAGGAGAGGATGGGGGTAGAGTCTCCCAAGCCAAAATTTTGACATTTGAGTGCTTTCGTAAGCCCTGTACATGTACTATTAATTCAGTCATTCAGCCAAGCCTCCTCCTCTAGCAGCAATTTCCAGCTGTGTAACACTATCCTGGGCAAATGTTTTACCCTGTCCTCCAGCCTCCCTGCTTCCCTTCTGGCCCTGGAAGACTGAGTCTGGACGGCAGAGTGGAGGGACTGGGAGGCTGTGGCTGCCTCCCTCCCTCAGCCCGGCTGGGACTGTCTCCCGGACCCCAGTGCTGGGGTGGGGGAAGGGGGACGGAGAATGACTCAGGCAGGGCCCCAGGGTGGGGTGAGGAGGTTCCTGCTCTGGCAGGTCTAGGCGGAAGGGAGTGGAGATGGGGCTGGTTCCTGCTGCAGTGAGGGGAACAGATGGGACAATAAAGACTGGAGACTCAGTTGAATAATACAAAACTGTTTAATACTACCAAAAATATAATTGTATGTTGTGCGGCTCTCCCTGGCTATCATGGGAGGACTGCAGGCTGCCTCTGAACTGTAGTCCAACAGGAGAAAGGGTTGACAGCCTGGGGTAGGGGATGCTGCTGGATTAAAAAAGGAGGATGAGGCCCGTCCCGTGAGGTCTGCGTCCATGAGGGTTAGAGGTGGGTTAGGGGCATGGGGGCACCAGCAAGGGGAGGGTTGTATGGAGTGGGAGAGCCAGGGGGCAGGTAGTGGGTATAGGTGGGCAGCAGTTCCCCCTGGAGCCTAGGGTCACTCTGAGGGAGGGAGCACGGTGAGGGGGCTTCCAGTTTGCAGTGGGAAGAGCTGCAGAGAGAAACAAGAGGTTAGAGGGCACTTCCCTGGGTTGGAGGTGAGTCTGGCCAGTTCTGGGCAGACAGGGTAGAGCGTGCCACCCACCCAGCCCTGGCTACCCAGCCCGCTGGGCGCAGCAGGCATGGAAGCCGACCCCGGGATGGAGAGCCCGCGGCCCTGTTGGGGCACGCTCGGGAGCGGGCTTGCGTGCTGCACGGCTGTTTTCCTCTTGGGGAGTCAGGCCAGGAAAGGGCAGAATGAGCTCGGCCTCTCCTTGCCCTGGGGGCTGGGAGAGGAAGCTGGGTCACACACAGGCCAGAAGCAGGGGGGAAACGGGGCATCTAACTAGGACACAGTCGCATCCAGGGGTCAGTCACCTGACCCTACAGGGCCCACCACCTTCAGACTGAGATGGAAACGCCCTCTGGGAGAACCCTGATCCGCCCCACCCTACACAGGCCCCGGAGGTACTGGGCCTGCGCCCGCCACACCTTGGCCGCGAGTGGCCTCTGCTTGGGTGGGCTCCCGTCCTCCGGCATCCGCCCCCACCAAGGCTCCAGAAGAGGGGCGCATGGGCCTCCGTCTTCGGCCCGCTTCCCAGGCACTCACCCATAGCTGCCAGGCAGGTAGGCTGTCGAGTAGCTGGGGGGTCTGTACCCAAAGCCTCTGCTCGGTTGGGTGGTCGCGTACCCCGGCCCCCAGAGCGGGCCGCCGCTGGCCAGGTTGCCTCTTCCCTGTCCGCAGCGGGAAGGTCCGGCGCCCGAGCTCTTGGCCTTGCGCCGAGGCCGGTACTTGTAGTCGGGGTAGTCGCGCAGGTGTCGGGCGCGGAGCCGCTTGGCCTCCTCCACGAAGGGCCGCTTCTCGTCCTCGTCCAGCAGCTTCCACTGCGCGCCCAGGCGCTTGGAGATCTCGGAGTTGTGCATCTTGGGGTTCTGCTGCGCCATCTGGCGGCGCTGAGCGGAGCTCCACACCATGAACGCGTTCATCGGCCGCTTCACCTTCTCCAGGGGCAGCGTCCCGGGGGCCGCGGGGCTCCCAGCGCCCTCCCGCTCCTGGGGTCCCGAAGATGAGGAGGCAGCAGCCGTGGCAGCCGGAGGCTCCAGGCTCCAGGCCTGGTCCTGTGAGGAGCCTGGTAGCGCCATGGGTTGGGAGAAGCCTTAAGAGGGCGTCCTGAATGCCCTCCCCTCAACGTGAAGCGTCGATCCTGAAAATGGAAAGGTCTTCCCAGTCTGGAGTCGTTGCCGAGGAACTTGGGTCCTTAAAAAGTGTATTTTATCCCCAAGCCCAGAGCTTAAACCGGAGCCTTTGCTTCCAACCTGTTCGGCACACTTTGGGGAGAGTCGAATGCAAAATCCGCTGTCTGGTGCCCCGGCACTGAAGAGGTGTTCTGAGGCCTACTGACTGGGGGACCCCCGGTCCCTCTCCCCGACCCGCAGCTGCGATCAGACCGACCTTCCGTGGAGGGGGTAAACCATAAACCCCTTTGTGGTCTCCGGAGTTCCGACAGCTGCCAGGCGCGGATAGGCCAGACCTCTCCCACCTGGGCTCAGCGTTTGTGGCAGGCGGGCCAGACCTGGGAACAGCTTTTAAAGACTGACTCCGCCCCTGTCCCTCCCATAAGACTGCACCTCCTTAAGGGCGCCAACATCCTCAGCCCGTAGGTAAACCCAGGTGTCCTGTTTGTCCCAGCCCCCAACACCCTCAGGGTGCCACGCCCCCCGCCCCCCCCACCCAAGACCTGATGTCAGGCCTTCCAGCCCGTTGCTGATTGCCTCCCCTCCCTGAAGCACAGGCAATTTAAAGCCAATTCTTTCCACAATGGGATCAAACACAGGGGGATGAAGTGCCCTCAGGGCCCGAGTTGTGCTGAGAGGAGCTTGGGAGCATCCCGGACCACCACCCCAACCCCTTTCCTGGTGCCTGTTGCTCCTCAAATCCCAGAACTGCCCCTGGGGCAAGAAAGGCCGAGGAGGGAGACCATTTTTGTTTCCTGAGTCATTCCAGCAGGTGCTTGGGCCGTGATTCAACCCCTTTCCCAAGTGAGAAAACTTAAGCCCTCCCAACTCCAGTCCCTAAACCTATATTTCTCCACTGCTATTGAATTATGGCAAGTTTTAGCTTCAGTCGTCCAAGTCATGAGGGGGGAGCCAGGAAACCCAGGACAACTCCCCAAGTTAAGAGGTCTGTGATGCGCATGCCGGAGAAAAAGCCTGGAGCCAGAACAGAACACCACCAAGAAGGCCGGACCCCGGGCTCCAGAGGCTGCTGTGAGGGAACCCTGCTCCCCACTCTGCCCAACGGCCCAGCCCAAGCCCCAGGCCTCAGGTAATCGGATTAAGCAGCCTGCCTTGGCTCTCAGCTTCTACAGGAACAGCTCCAGCTCTGAGCAGCCCTGCCTAGCCTGTGCTGTGACTCAGGGTATAGGAGTGGCCCAACTCCCTCTACCAGCAAACTTGGGGGAGGGGAGAAGCAACAAGGCACAAGCCCCCCTCCTCTGAACCAGGAGGGAGAACCTGGGCCTGGGGAGTTTAGGAATGTCAGGAATTCCCAGAAGTAAGACCATCTTTGGGACAAGAGACAATGAAGAGAAGTCAGATGTGGAGGAACAGAAAACAAGAGCCAGGGGCCAGGGCAGGTCAGTCCTAGAGAAACAAATGGACCAAACTGGGGACAAAGAAGGCACAGGAGCCAGACAGCCATTTGGATTTTTTTATTCTCTTTTTAAATACTGTACAGTGAAAAATAAATACGCCTTCTCATCCACCAGACAAGGTTGGTCCCCTCCCCAGGGGGACCTTGTCACCCCCCTTCATACACACCCCTGGTTCTACTCCAAAACCTTCCCCGTGCCTCCCACCCACTTATCTCTTACTATCCCCGTCTTCCACAGTGATGAGGCCCCAGAAATGGGGGGTACAGGATGGGAGGAGGGATAGCAGGGGAGGCCCCCTGAACGGTCAAATCTGGGTGGGTCGAGGAGCACCCCCCACCAACAGGTGGAGAATGGGGGTGTTCAGAGAGAGATTGGGGCATTAGAGGATAAAGGCACATCCAGTCTGATGGGGAAGGAGAGAGGCTCCCCTTACCCTGGGGGTAGGGTGGACAAGAGGGAGGGGGTATGACCCTGTTACACACCCCTCCACTAGCTCCTGGAGGTTGGGGGGTACCCAAGCTGCTGTGCCACCCCCCTCCCCCCTAGATAAGAGCAGCTCCAGCGCAGGTCAGTTGGGCCTGTGAGGGCCATGGTGTTGGGCAGCAAGCGAGATGGAGAAGGGAGGGGTGCAGGTTGGAGGTTTTATGAAACCCCATTCACCATACTACCCAACTCCAAGGGGGCGGAGAGCTCCCCATTCTCCGAGGGGCCCTTAGGAAGCTTGCTGACAGAGTCACCCTGAGGGGAAAGTGGGAAAGAAAACAGAAAAGCAAGAAGCGGTGAGTAGAAATTCAGGTGGGAGACATTCCCTACCATCCAAGCCCTCCTGGCATTTGGTGATCCAGAGGTTGGTTCCCTGATCTCATGATCCAGTCTCTCTTACTTGGGATCCAGAAAATGTGAACCACACTTTCTTCTCTATCCTATTCAAAGTTTACACTGGTCTAAACTCCATCAGACACAGCTGCCTCTGCAATTCAGTAGGAGATTTGTGAAATTTTTTGTGCCCCCTGCCCCAGAGTAACAACAAAAAAGGGATGGGGTAAAGCACATCTTGCCTGCCTACCTTCTGTCCTGAAAGAGAGTCTTCTGAGGGTTTAGTGCGTTCCAGGGGTGGCCTCTGGCGGCTCTGAGACTCTGCTCGTGAGATATAGTCAGCCACAGTCACTGGGGAAGGCAGGAGATTAAGACTTTCAGATGGAATTCTGGTAGCCAGCCTAAGACACCCACTGAACCCGAACCCCTGATTTTCACAGGGGTGAGCATCCCATTCTCTCAGCTCTGAGGAAGGATTCTGGTGTCCAGAGTTGGCTGACCTGGCTGGCGGTCTCCACTGATAGAGCCATCAGTCCGATTACCACGGTTACGGCGGCGGCGGCTGCGATTACGACGTTGAGGTCTTGATTCATCTTCTGTAGGGTAGGAAAAAACCAGAGTCACACATCCAACCTCCCACCCTCGATTCCTACCCATCTCTAACTTTCCAGACCCCAGGCACACCCTCACCCAGGCCATTCTCTGTCATGTTGGGCCCATCTGATTCCAGGCCTCCATCCATGACGGTCCTGTCTTCATCAGTGCGGCGGCGGCGGGAGCGGCGGCGCCTGGCACTTGCTGGGGGGGGTTCCCCAGGTTCTGAATCAACCGGGGGCTCTGGTTCAGACGTGTCCAATAGGCTGTAGGGATTACTGTCTGGATCCTTCAGCACTGGTCAGAGGAAGAAGAGGAGGAGTTGGCAGTCAGGTGCCCATCATCTTTCCTTTTGGCCCATATTCATGAACCCAGCTGTCTGGTACCTGAGCTAATAGATGAAGAATTGTATCTCGAAGTGGGCCGGGGGGCAGGTGGGGGTCCCCTACCCCGGCCCCCAGTCGGCCGCCTCCGGCTTTCTTCCCCTCGGGTTGGGGGATCCCTGTCGCCAGGCCCAGCTCGGTTGGGCTCCTCTCTCTTCTCTGACTCAGTCTCTGAAGCTGTAGACACATCTGAGCTGGGGCCTGAAGAACACAATGGGATTTATTCACGGCCATTCATCCCACCTCAGGATCCATCACATCCCCCAAACTGGAAGAATTCTCCTTCTCACTCACAAGCCTCCCAGCCAATCAATCACTTTTTCATCATCTCCATTCCAGATTTCCCCAAACTTCCATCCAGACCTCTGCCTCTACCCACAAGCCCTGCCACTCCTTGCCTCCTGTTCCCATAACTGTCTCACCATAGGCAGGACCGCCTGTCCTCCGGCCACGGCCACGGCCCCCATAGCTGCCCCCATAGGTTCGAGTCGCATGGAGGGAGGAGGAGGAGCTCTCATCAGTGCTATATCCAGCCTTGTCGCTGCCACCGCTGCCCCGCCCACTCCCAGGAGGGCGAAAGCCCAGCCCAATCTGCCGAAGCTGCTCATCAATTTGTAGCCTCTCCAAGCGAAGCTGCTCTACCTCCTGGTTGGGTAAAAGATGGAAGAAGGGGAAGGAGAAATAAGATCAGTGCCTTGCTTCATGCTTCTGCACCCTGACTGTCCCTCTATATCTAACCTCTCAGGAATGCAGGGAGAAGGAAGACACTGGCTAAACAAGGAAAATTCTGGGACCCAACCCTATAGCCCCAAATTTCCACAGATGTTTTCTGTTCTACACGGAGAGACAAACAGAGAACCAAAATCCCTGAGCTGACCCCCACAGCAGTCTTAGTTCCCTTTTCACACCCAGCATTTTTCTCTCCCGGCCTGGGTACCTGCAGGTAGGAGAGGTGATACTCCAGCAAAGCCTGGGCATTGCTGATGTTCTCTCGGGTGCCAACAAAAATGAAGGGAACCATTCCCTAGAGAACAGAGAGCAGAAACGATGGATCAGAAAGGAAAATGAAATGGAAGGATTAACGCCGCCCAGTCTCCTAGGGGAGCCTGCCCAGTGGGATCATTCTGGGCTCTAAATCTACTAGTGTTAAACAACTTTCCGTACTCCACCCTCTCAAAGAACAATCCCAGCCCTCAGAGGACAATCCCATTTACTTCTGGAAACCAATCTCTATGCCCACTTGCCCCGTACCCATACCTCCTCCCTGGGGTTCTTCTTGTCATTATCACCTTCCACTCGAACCCTCACCACACCAGATTTATCCACAATCTCCTGGATCACTTTCCCGTTCTTTCCAATCACTTTGCCTGGAATAGGTAAATGAGGAATTCAGCCTTTTATTTTTTTTAAGGAAATAAGAATAAAGCTGATACACCGTCTTCCAGCCTCATTTTCTTTATATGGATTCCATTTACTTCATTCTCCTGCTTCTAGGTTTCTGATGTGTTTTTACAGGACAAAATGTTACAATCCCTAGAAATTTATTCTTTCATTTTTATCACTCCCATTACAGACTGTTTCTCTGTCCTTGTGAAACTGGGAGTCCACAGGGAGGTGCCAATCCTGGATAAAAGCTCAGAATCACTGTAGAGAATCTTGATTCTGACCTCTAACTGTATATACACACCACCAACTCACCAACCAGGTTCCTGGGCACTTGCACTGAGTCCTCAGAAAACTCAAGGTAGCTTCGGGCCTGTCGGCAAGCCTCGGGAGTCTAAAGGAAGAACAGCAGGGAGTTGTTACTAAAACAGAAGACCAGCTGGATGTGGTGGCTCACGCCTGTAATCCCAGCACTTTGGGAGGCTGGAGGCAGGTGGATAAATTGAGCTCAAGAGTTCAAGACTAGCCTGGGCAATATGGTGAAACGCCATCTCTACTAAAAATACAAAAATCAAAATACAAAAATACTAAAATACTAAAAATACAAAATTGGTGGCTCACGTCTCTAATCCCAGCTACTCCGGAGGCTGAGGCAGGAGATTTCTTGAACCCAGGAGGCAGAGGTTGCAATAAGCTGAGATTGTGCCACTGCACTCTAGCCCGGGCAACAGAGTGAGTTAGACTCCATCTCATAAAAAAAAAAAATTAAACAAATAAATAACTTAAAAAAAAAAACAGAGGACCTTGGCCAGGCACAGCGGCTCACACCCATAATCTCAACAGTTTCGGAGGCTAAGAAGGGAGGATTGCTTGAGGCTAGGAGTTAACAACCAGCTTGGGCAACAGAGATCTGGTCTATTTTTTTGATTTTTTGGTCTCACTCTATTGACTATGTTGCCCAGGTTGGTTCAGTGGCACCATCATGGTGTACTGCAGCCTTGACTTTCCAGGCTCAAGTGATCCTCCTGCCTCCGCCTCCCAAGTAGCCAAGTAGCTGGGGCCACAGATGCATGCCACCACGCTCAGTTAACGTTTTTTGGTTTTTGGTTTTTTTGGGGGGTAAAGACAGGGTCTCTCTATGTTGTCCAGGTTGTTCTCCAACTCCCAGGCTCAAGTGATCCTCCCCTCTATCTTCCCATTTCAGCCTCCCAAGTACCTGCGACTACAGGTACGCACCACTACTTCCAGCTAATTTTTAAATTTTTGTAGAGATTGGGTCTCACTATGTTGCACAGGCTGGTCTCAAACTCCTAGGCTCAAGTGATCCTCTCACTTTGACCTCCGAAGGTGCTGGGATTACAGGTGTGAGCCACTGTGCCCAGTTTGAGGCTTATTTTCTACTTCGGCCTCTCTTCCCTCTATCCCCTAAGAGACCCAGAAGAAAGACATCCTTTGCTGACCTCCCCATAGATGCGGAAAGTGCAGGTCTCTTCACCCAACTCAATGGCGGTCACCCCAGGTACTTTTCGGGCCTGCTGGATGTTGGCACCGTGAGTCCCAATTGCCAGTCCCATCAGGTCCTCTCGCACTGTGAACTCCTCTTGGAAGGCTGCTGCCAACTGCTTGCTTGTCTGAAAGGAAAAGTCACTGTAGGAATCATGGTGGTAGAATCTCACAGTCCCAGGCACACGACCCTTTGCATAACTTAAATAAGGAAAACTGTGTGATATTAATAGAAAGCTAGAACCACTCTGGAGTCCGCGGACCACGAGGACCTGTGTGGAAAGGTCAGGAACTTTTTGTTTTTTCTTTGAGATGGCGTCTCGCTCTGTCGCCCAGGCTGGAGTGCAGTGGCGCGATCTCAGCTCACTGCAACCTCCGCCTCTCGACTTCAAGTGATTCTCATGCCTCGGCCTCCTGAGTAGCTACGACTACAGGTGTCCACCACCATGCCTGGCTAATTTCTGTATTTTTAGTAGAGACAAGGTTTCACCATGTTGGCCAGGCTGGTCTCAAACTCCTGACCTCAGGTGATCCGCCCGCCTCAGCCTCCCAAAGTGCTGGGATTACCGGCATAAGCCACCACGCCCGGCCAAGGTCAGGAACTTTTAATTCCACTCCTTCCAAATACCAGTGGTTTGTGGGGGAGGAAAGGTAAAGAGGGCAGAGTTTGGACTGGGACACACCGAAGTTCTGGATTTGGCCCTAACAGTATCTGTCCCTAAGAGTATCTATCTGTGTGATCTTAAACAAAACATACTCTGCCTCTTGTGTCATCTGCTAAGTGATTATATCCAACTTATCTTATTCTCAAGACTAGCAAGAGGATTAGACAAGGCTGGTGTGAAAGTACTTCTCACAAGGTACATGCAAGTGTAAGGAACTCTTACCTTAATCAAACAAATATCAACTCATCCCCAAATAAAACTCAACAACTTAAGTAAAAAGTGAGGGGTAGGCTGTGCGCGGTGGCTCACGCCTGTAATTCCAGCACTGTGGGAGGCTGAGGCAGGTGGATCACAAGGTCAGGAGATCAAGACCATCCTGCCAACATAGTGAAACCCCATCTCTATTAAAAATACAAAAATTAGCTGGCCTTGGTGGGGTGTGCCTATAATCCCAGCTGCTTGGGAGGCTGAGGCAGGAGAATTGCTTGAACCAGGGAGTTGGAGGTTACAGTGAGCCGAGGTCATGCCACTGCACTCCAGCCTGGTGACAGAGCAAAACTCTGTCTCAAAAAAAAGTGAGGGGTTAAGAAAAACAGAAAACATGCCTCTAGAACACCAGGCTTTCACTTCATTTCTCAATCAGTCCTTAGAGGAACCCCTGGGTTCAGGGGCAGGAAGACAGGAAAGGTTTTAGAGGAGTGAATCCCATGTTGTAAGCACCAAATAGAAACAATACCTGAAAGGAGACATTCCTAGATTGAAATACACTACTTCCCACTTCCAAGTTGGATAGGACTGAATTATACCAAGGATTTATACCAGGCAAGAAGAGAAAGTTGGAAAAATAAACTAAGTTGAGTGTTCAAAATCACTACATTAGGAGGGGAGGGGAAGAGATCTACAATGACCTATAAGCGTCTTCTAGATAAGCTTGCAGAACAGCTGGGTTTTCTTTTTTTTTTTTCTTTTTTTTGAGATGGGGTCTGTCACCCAGGCTAGAGTGCAGTGGCATGATCTCTGCTCACTGCAACTTCTGCCTCCCTTTTTTTGTATTTTTAGTAGAGAAGGGGTTTCACCATGCTGGCCAGACTGGTCTCAAACTCCTAACCTCAGGCAATCCACCTGCCTCGGCTTCCCAAAGTGCTGGGATTGCAGGCGTGAGCCGCTGCACCCGGCCCCTTTCCGGTTTTTAGAGGCTTCACTACTAGGCATGACTGATTAAATCACTGATCCTCAGTGATTGCCTTAACCTTTGGCCCCATTCCCCTCCCAGGAAGTTGGTGGGGGTGAGGCTGAAAGTTCCAACCCTCTAATCATGAAGCCACCTAGAGGGGCTAGCCATGAATCAACTCATCAGCACACAAAAACACACATCACTGGAGATTCCAAGGATTTTAGAAGTTGAATGCCAGGAGCCTGGTCAGGAGACCAAATATGTATCTCTCAGTATCACAGAGCCTGTCAGTCCTACTGGTTTTACTCGTAAAATTTATCCTACATAAAACTACTCTCTCTCTCTTCCTTTAGCACTCCAGTTCAAGTTTCTCACCTGGACTACTGTGCTCTGTTCCTGCTTCCATTCTTGCCCCCCTTTCCATCTGTCATTGAAACAGGAGTTTAAAACAGAAGGCACTTTCGGCCGGGCACAGTGGCTCTCGCCTGTAATCCCAGCACTTTGGGAGGCCGAGGTGGGTGGATCACGAGGTCAGGAGATCAAGACCATCCTGGCTAACACGGTGAAACCCCATCTCTACTAAAAAAAAATACAAAAAAATCAGCCGGGCGTGGTGGCAGGCGCCTGTAGTCCCAGCTTCTCGTGAGGCTGAGGCAGGAGAATGGCGTGAACTTGGGAGGTGGAGCTTGCAGTGAGCCGAGATCACGCCAATGCACTCCAGCCTGGGTGACAGAGCGAGACTCCGTCTCAAAAACAAAACAAAACAAAACAAAACAAAAAACCAGAAGGCACTGTTAACTCAATGGCTTCTCAGTATACGCACAATAAAATCCCCCCTCCTCAGCCTACCGTACATGTCTTACATGATCTACTCTCTGACCGAATTTTGTATCGGTCTCCCTTTGCTCACTCTGCGCTAACTACACAAGCTGCAGTGAGCTGAGATCGCACTACTGCACTCCAGCCTGGACGACAGAATGAGACTCCGTCTCAAAAAATTAAAAAACAACAACAAAAATTAGGCCGGGTGCAATGGGTCATGTCTATAATCCCAGCACTTTGGGAGGCCAAGGCAAGTGGATCCCTTGAGGCCAGGGGTTCGCGACCAGCCTAGCCAACATGGTGAAACTCCGTCTCTACTAAAAATACTGAAATTAGGGCCAGGTATAGTGGCTCATGCCTGTAATCCCAGTACTTTGGGAGGCCAAGGCAGGTGGATCACCTGCGGTCGGGAGTTCAAAACCAGCCTGGGCAACATGGTGAAACACTAAAAAAGCAAAAATTATCCAGACGTGGGGGCGCGTGCCTATTATCCCAGCTACCTGGGAGGCCGAGGCACAAGAATCGCTTGAACCCAGGAGCGAGAGGTTGCAGGGAGCGGAGATTGTGCCATTGCACTCCAGCCTGGGTGACAGAGGGAAACTGTCTCCAAAAAAAAAAAAAAAATAGCCAGGTATGGTGGCATGCACCTGTAATCCCACCCACCCAAAGGCTGAGGTGAGAGGATCACTTGAGCTCGGGGGGTAGAGACTGCAGTGAGCTGAGATCGCACCACTACATACACTCCAGCCTGGATAACAGACTGAGACTCCATCTCAAAACAAAAAACAAAAACAAAAAATAAAGTTTGTATCATCTGAAGGTAATGGTGAATTTTTACCTGCCAGTGCCCTGAGCAGGATCCCTGAAGAAGTCAAAGATTATCATGACCCAGAAATTGCACAGGCACAGAAAAAAGCCTCCCAAAAAGATCAATTCCCTTGATAAATGGAAATGGTATTCAAACACACACACCCTATTCACTTAGAATAGTATAATACCAACGAAAGGGAATCTGACAATTATACGATGTCAGAATTCAAAAAGATCTCACAGAAATACTCTAGTCAGGCCAGGCGTGGTGGCTGACACCTGTAATCCCAACATTTTGGGAGGTCGAGGTGGGCGGATCACCTGAGGTCCATAGTTTGAGATCAGCCTGGCCAACATGGTGAAACCCCATCTCTACTAAAAAAGACAAAAATTAGCCAGGTGTGATGGCACACACCTGTAATCCCAGCTACTTGGGAGGCTGAGGCAGGAGAATCGCTTCAATCTGGGAGGTGGAGGTTGCAGTAAGCCAAGATAGCGCCACTGCGCTCTAGCCTGGGCGACAGAGACGCTATCTCAAAAAACAAACAAAAAAACAAGAAATATCCTTTTTTTCTTTGAGATGGAGTTTCACTCTTGTTGCCCAGGCTGGAGTACAATGGTGTGATCTCGGCTCACTGCAACCTCCGCCTCCCAGGTTCAAGCGATTCTCCTGCCTCAGCCTCCCGAGTAGCTGGGACAACAGGCGCCTGCCACCACGCCTGGCTAATTTTTGTAGTTTTAGTAGAGACGGGGTTTCACCCATGTTGGCCAGGCTGGTCTTGAACTCCCGACCTCAGGTGATCTGCCCGCCTCAGCCTCCCAAAGTGCTGGGATTACAGACGTGGGCCACCGCGCCCAGTCATATCCTTTTTTTCTTTGAGACAGAGTTTCACTCTTGTCACCCAGGCTGAAGTGCAATGGCGCAATCTTGGCTCACTGCAACCTCCACTTCCCAGGTTCAAGCGATTCTCCTGCCTCAGTCTCTCGAGTAGCTGAAATTACAGGCATGTGCCACCACGCCCAGCTGATTTTTGTCTTCTTAGTAAAGATGGGGTTTCACCAGTCTCGACTCCCAACCTCGGATTGATCTGCCTGCCTCGGCCTCCCAAAGTGCTAAAGTGCTGCGATTAAAGGCGTGAGCCACCGCGCCCACCCTAAAAAATAAATATTCTAGTCTAGGCTGCATGTGGTGGCTCACACCTGTAATCCTAGCACTTTGCAAAGTACAGGCAGATGGATCTCTTGAGCCTAGAAGTTCAAGACCAAGGCCGGGCGCAGCGGCTCATGTCTGTAATCCCAGCACTTTGGGAGGCCGAGGCAGGTGGATCATGAGGTCAGGAGTTTGAGACCAGCCTGGTCAACATGGTGAAACCCCATCAATACTAAAAATACAAAAATGAGCTGGGTGTGGTGGCACAAGCCTGTAGTCCCAGCTACTCAGGAGGCTGAGGCGGGAGAATCGCTTGAACCCAGAAGGTGGATGTTGCAGTCAGCTGAGACTATACCATTACACTACAGCCTGGGTGACAAAGTGAGACTCCGTCTCAAAAAAAACCATTCAGCCAGGTGTGGTGGCTCACGCCTGTAATCCCAGCACTTTGGGAGGCTGAGGCGGGTGGATCACATGAGGCCAGGAGTTCGAGGCCAGCTTGGGCAACATGGCAAAACCCCATCTTACTAATAATACAAAACTTAGCCGGGTGTGGTGGCGCACGCCTGTAATCCCAGCTACTCAGAAGGCTGAGGCATGAGAATCGCTTAAACACAGGAGGCAGGGGTTGCAGTGAGCCGAGATCGTGTCATTGCACTCCAGCCTAGGCGACACAGCGAGACTCTGTCTCCCAAAAAAAAAAAAAAAAAATTGGCTAAAAGAAATTTGAAAATAATTGCACTATACCATGATAGAGCTCTGCCATCTGGAGGAGTCTGAGATAAAATAGCTGACCCAGGTTTAATTGCCCAGAAAAAGCCTTAGTCTTTGTTCTGTAAACACAAGATCATGGATGGAGGACAGGGTAGGAAGGGAGGAAGACAATACCCTTCAGCAGAAGGAAAAGGAGCTAAAAGTTACCTCTAGGTGCTTGGTAGCTTCTTCATTGCGGGACATAAGTAGCAGTTTGGTGCGCAGGCTTCGGAAATGCATATCACCCAGCAGAGATGCTCGCTTCACAGGGGCTTCTGTGGTTGACTGGGAGGAAACCAGTGGGAAAGTCATTAAAACTGGCTTGGAATAAACACTAAGGGAGAGCCAGGGACTAGAAATCAGGATGCCTAAGTCCCGGGAAAAGGGTTAAGAAATGAAGCTAGGAGACCGGGCGCGGTGGCTCATGCCTGCAATCCCAGGACTTTGGGAGGCCAAGGCAGGCGGATCACGAGGTCATGAGATCGAGACCATCCTGGCCAACGTGGTGAAACCCTGTCTTTACTAAAAATACAAAAATTAGCTGGGCGTGGTGGCACATGCCTATAATCCCAGCTACTCCAGAGGCTGAGGCAGGAGAATCGCTTGAACCCGGGAGTCGGAGGTTGCAGTGAGCCGAGACTGCGCCACTGCACTCTAGCCTGGTGACAGAACAATACTCTGTTTTCAAAAAAAAAAGAAATGAAGCTAGGAAGGAGGAGACTCATTGTCAGTCCCACAAAGGCTGACTATCAGGGTACTGAAGGAAAATGGTTTAGAGAGAAAGCAAGGAGCAAGCATAAGGTGAGAGCTACATACTCTATTTCTGAAAGTCCAAATATCAAGAGAGGGTCTCTAACCCAGATGGCAACATGATTATCAGGTTTAAAAAAAAAGGGTCAGAGGCCGGGCGTGGTGGCTCACGCCTGTGATCCCAGCACTTTGGGAGGCCAAGGCGGGCGGATCACGACGTCAGGAGTTCAAGACCAGCCTGACCAATATGGTGAAACCCTGTTTCTACTAAAAATACAAAAATTAGCCGGGCATGTCGGGCGCGGTGGCTCACGTCTGTAATCCCAGCACTTTGGGAGGCCGAGGCGGGTGGATCAGGAGATCAGCAGTTCAGGACCAGCCTGGCCAACATGGTGAAACCCTGTCTCTACTAAAAACACAAAAAAAAATTAGCCAGGCGCAATGGCAGGCGCCTGTAATCCCAGCTACTCGGGAGGCTGAGGCAGGAGAATCGCTTCAATCTGGGAGGTGGAGGTTGCAGTGAGCCGAGATCGCGCCACTGCACTCCAGCCTGGGCGACAGAGTGAGATTCCATCTCAAAAAAAAAAAAATTAGCCGGCGTGGTGACGCACACCTGTAATCCCAGCTACTCAGGAGGCTGAGGCAGGAGAATTGCTTGAACCCGGGAGGTGGAGGTTGCAGTGAGCCGAGATCGTGCCATTGTTCTCCAGCCTGGGTGACAAGAGTGAGACTTCGTCTCAAAAAAAAGAAAAAAAAAAGGTAGGGCTACCTGGGCCTGTAGGAGTCAGGAGCAATAAAGTCCTCTTGACAAATAAATATAAGCACATTTAAGCCCTTCTCTTTCTGCAAAAGGGTTAAAAAGGGAAAAAGAAAAAATGTTCAAAAGGCTTATGTGAAATTCAGGCAGAATAAACTCACCAGAATGAAGAGCTCACTGTTTGTGATGTTGAGAAAGATGCAGTTGGCTCCCAGGGCTTTCTTGAACTCTTTATGGACGTTTTCATTGGAGCAGCTGCAGAGGAAAAAAGTACTCAGCGGGCAGAATGCAGAGAGTACAGTGAAGAGTTCGGGGGAGGCTGGACATGGTGGTTTGCACCTGTAATCCTAGCACTTTGGGAGGCTAGGGCAGGATGATCACTTGAAGTCAGGAGTTCAAGACTAGCATGGGCAACATAGTGAGACCCTGTCTCTATTAAAAAAAAAAAAAAAAATTCAGAGAAGCAGGGCTGAGTAAATAAGAAAAGAAAAGGGACTGGGCCGGGTGCGGTGGCTCACGCCTGTAATCCCAGCACTTTGGGAGGCTGAGGCAGGCGGATCACTTGAGGTCAGGAGTTTGAGACCAGCCTGACCAACATGGAGAAACCCTGTCTCTACTAAAAATACAAAATTAGCCGGGTGTGGTGGTGCATGCCTGTAATCCCAGCTACTCGGGAGGCTGAGGCAGGAGAATCGCCTGAACCTAGGAGGTGGAGGTTGCGGTGAGCCGAGATTGTGCCACTGCACTCCAGCCTGGGCAACAAGAGCAAAACTCTGTCTCCAAAAAAAAAAAAAAAAGAAAGAAAGGAAAAGAAAAGAAGAGGGACCACAGTTAAAGAACAAGGATGGGAAAATAAAGAAACTAAGTGTCTTCTTAGCAAGAAGGGCTCTAGTAGAGGGCCAGGGGAACAACAGAGAAAACTGCAAAGTGGGAGTGATGCCTGGGAGAAATAAAGCCAGAGATTAGGGCTGTAAAGAGGGCCCTCATTCCCACCATCCTTAACACTCACGCTTCTCTCAGATCCTCGGGCACAGCCATGGTAACCTTGAAGAAGCTGCCTTTGGTTGCAAGGGGATTGGGATTAACTGGCCGAAGTCGCTCCAGGGTAACAATTTCATTGTAGGTGGCATCACAGGCAGCATATTCAATGACATAGAACTGGCACATGGTAAAAAAGGAGAAGTTGTGGATGACCTGAGCAACTTTCTATGAATAACATATTTGTTTCAGTAGTTCTCCAAAGGCATTCCCAGTCACTCACATCTCCCTTCATCATCCGCACCCGGGCCAGCCACCAGCCACAAGGTTCCTGTTCATTGGCTCGAGAATAAACCTAAAGAAAAGTAGAGAATCAAAGAGATATTGAAGACCACCCAAAAGCATCAAGAAAGGGATGAGGAGGCCGGGCATGGTGGGGCTCACACCTGTAATCTCAGCGCTTTGGGAGGCTGAGGCAAAAGGACTGCTTATGCCCAGGAGTTCAAGACCAGCTTGGGCAACATAAACAATAGAACAACCATTAAGATATTTGGGGCTGCTGGGCACAGTGGCTCAAGCTTATAATCCCAGCACTTTGGAAGGCCAAGGTGGGAGGATCTCTTGAGCTCAGGAGTTCAAGAACGATCTGGGCAACACAGTGAGACCCCACTTCCACGAAAAAAAAAGAGGCCAAGCGCGGTGGCTTATGCCCATAATCCCAGGACTTTGGCTGAGGTGGGCTGATCACCTGAAGTCAGGAGTTCAAGACCAGCCTGGCCAACATGGTAAAACCCCACCTCTACTAAAAATACAAAAATTAGCCGGGTGTGGTGCCACATGCCTGTACTCCAAGCTACACAGGAGGCTGAGGCAGGAGAATCACTTGAACCAGGAGGTGGAGGTTGCAGTGAGCTGAGACCGCGCCACTGCACTCCAGCTTGGGCAACAGAGTGAGACTTCATCTCAAAAAGAAAAAAAAGGTATTTGGGATGCATCTTTTTTTTTTTTTTTTTGAGACAGAGTTTCGCTCTTGGTGCTCAGGCTGGAGTGCAATGGCACAATCTCAGCTCACTGCAACCTCCACTTCCTGGGTTCAAGCGATTCTCCTGCCTCAGCCTCCCAAGTAGCTGGGATTATAGGCGCCCGCCACCACGCCCAGCTAATTTTTTGTATTTTTAGTAGAGATGGGGTTTCATCATGTTGGCCAGGCTGGTCTTGAACTCCTGACCTCAGGTGATCTGCCCCACTCGACCTCTCAAAGTGCTGGGATTTCAGGTGTGAGCCACTGCATCCAGCCTGGGATGTATCTTAAACCAAGGATACAAGAAACCAGAGGAAGGAACTAATTAAAATCAGAGGACGGCAGGGCATGGTGGCTCATGCCTGTAATCCCAGCACTTTGGGAAGCTGAGGCGGGTGGATCACCTGAAGTCAGAAATTCAAGACTAGCCTGGCCAACATGGTGAAACCATGTCTTTACAAAAATGCAAAAATTACCCGAGCATGATGGCAGGTGCTTGTAATCCCAGCTACTTGGGAGGCTGAGGTGGAAGAATTGCTTGAACCCAAGAGGCGGAGGTTGCAGTTAGCTGAGATCGCGCCACTGCACTCCAGCCTGGGCAACAGAGCAAGACTCCATCTCAAAACAACAACAACAACAACAACAAAAAAATCAGAGGGCACTGGATTTTAGATGTTGTTACCATAAATGGAAGGCAAATCGCCTGAAACTGGGGATGTTCCTGAGAGTTTGGCTGATCACAACAGTGATAAAAGGGGAACTGTTGCATTTTACATTTCCATAGGCTACATGGCTGGATATGGCTTAGTTGGGGAGGAAGGAACATGAACCAACCAGAGAAAAGCCTAGAATCCTGGGGAAAAGTGACATTTAGAAAGGTGTACTCCACAGCCCTTACCTCCACTTCATCCCCTTCTGTGATCTCCTTATTATAGTCAGCTGGAGGTGGTAGCCGGACATCCCCAAAAGGAATTTGTCTCTCACTCTGCCAGCTATAATAGAAACAATAATATGAAAAAGCTACTCTGACTGATATGGTTGCCCATTTCTTTACAAAAGGGTTATTGCCTCAGCTGGGCGAGTTCCACCTATCTGGATAATTAGAGGCTAAACCCCAGGCCCTGCTCCATAGTAGTGTCTTCCATCTCTTTCTAGACTCTAAATACTGGGTCAAATGCCCCCACCCTCACCAAATTCTCAGCCCTTTCCTCTCCTGGGATCCATATGAGTTCCCACCCAAACCCTCAGCTCTCCCAACCTATTACATGCCTCATAGGACTCAGCTGCCCCCTCTTCTCCACTCTCCTTCTAGGACCTAGTATGCTGGATTCTCTATTCCCAAGGTCTTACTTGTTTTCAAAGAAGATGGTGACAGAGTCTTCATGGACATCCTTCACAAAGCCCTAGAATGGATTTTAGAAAAAAGCAAAAAAAATAAAATGACCTTTTACTTCCACCTTAGCCATCAAGGGAATAAGACACCACAAAACCTTAAACTTGAGTTTTAGATAGGGACACAAGTGGTGTAATGAGACAGCCTGAAAGGCTGCACTGGGGAAAGAATATGGGCAGTCAAACAGAGAAAGGAAATGATATTGTCATGGAGAGGTGTATGTACCACCTGCATCAGAACAGCCTGGAAACCAATGATCTACTCAGGCTCCCACAGGGGCCTCCCTATCTGTCTGCCTCCTGTTGTGCTAAGCAGCCTGCCAGAGTTCAATTAAAATACCAACAACATTCAGCAAGGCTAAGAATATCCCATGAGACAGTGTGAGGCTGTCCTGGAACACCTAGAGGACATGAGGATCTGTCGAGAGAGAAGGGCCTACCTCCGCAATACAGCAAGAGATCTGAGCAGACTCGCTGCCCTGATGCATGGGTCCTAAGACAATAATCGGAACACTAGACAAGTTCAAAATTGTGATGAACACAATTTACAGAAGGAAAAATTAAGACTTAATTTAAAAACATCGGTTTTTTAATACTAGAATTGAATCTAGAATGACACTGATAATTTATAAAGGATAATAAAATTTATGGAAGACTCCAATCTTGATATTTTGACAAGAGCAAGAGGGATGACTGAACAGCTGATCCACCTCCTGTGGTCTGTGTCCTCACTAAGGAGGCCAAAGCCATGCATTCACCCCTATGCTCCCAATTTTTCTACCTTCTCCCTATTTTTCACATACAATTAGGGATTTCTAATTTTGAAAAAGGTCTAGCTTATGAATTTATTATTTTATCAACTGTGCTTTTGGTTTCATATCTAAGAAATCTTTGCCCAGGCCAGGCACAGTGGCTCACGCCTATAATCCCAGCACTTTGGGAGGACGAGGCAGGCAGATCACCTGAGGTCAGGAGTTCGAGACCAGCCTGCCAACATGGTGAAACCCCGTCTCTACTAAAAATACAAAAATTAGCCAGGTGTGGTGGTGCATGTCTGTAATCCCAGCTATTTGGGAGGCTGAGGAAAGAGAATCACTTGAACCTGAGAGTCAGAGGTTGCAGTGAGCCAAGATCATGCCATTGCACTCCAGCCTGGGCAACAAGAGCAAAACTCCATCTCAAAAAAAAAAAAAAGAAAAAGAAAAAGAAATCTTTGCCTAATCCAAGGCCACAAAGGTTTTCTCTTATGTCTTCTTCTTAAACTTTTAGTTTTTTGTTTTACATTTACATCTATAATCCTTTATTTTTAGACAGAGTCTCACTCTGTCACCCAGGCTGGAGTGTAATGGCGCAATCTTGGCCCACTGCAACCTCCACCCCCCGGGTTCAAGCAATTCTCCTGCCTCAGCCTCACGAGTAGCTGAGATTACAGGCAACCGCCACCACACCAGGCTAATTTTTTATATTTTTAGTAGAGACGGGGTTTCACCATCTTGGCCAGGTTGGTCTCGAACTCCTGACCTCAGGTGATCCATCTGCCTCAGCCTCCCAAAGCTGGAATTAAAGATGTGAGCCACTGTGCCCAGCCTATGATCCATTTTGAATTAAATTTTATATATAAGGTGAGGTATTGATCAATGTTTTTTAAATTTTTAAATTCTTATTTATTTTTTTGAGACAGAGTTTCGCTCTTGTTGCCCACGCTGGAGTGCAATGGTGCAACCTTGGCTCACCGCAACCTCCGCCTCCCAGGTTCAAGCAATTCTGCCTCAGCCTCCCAAGTAGCTGGGATTACAGGCATGGGCCACGACCCTGGCTAATTCTGTATTTTTAAGAGAGACAGGGTTTCTCCATGTTCGTCAGACTGGTCTCAAACTCCCGACCTCTGGTGATCCACCCGCCTCAGCCTCCCAAAGTGCTGGGATTACAGGTATGAACCATCGCACCAGGCCACTTTTTTTTATTTTTAATATATTTTTAAATTAAAATTTTTTTTTAATAGAGACAGGGTTTCGCTATGTTGCCCAGGCTGGTCTTGAACTCCTGGACTCAAGCAATGCACCCGCCTTAGCCTCCAAGAATGTTGGAATTACAGGTGTGACCACTGTGCCCAGCCCATTTTTTACCTAAAGATATCTTGTTCCAGCACTGTCTGTTGAAGACTATCCTTTCTGGCCAGGGGCGGTAGCACACGCCTGTAATCCCAACACTGGGAGGCCGAGGCTGGCAGATCAGCTGAGGCCATGAGTTCGAGACTAGTCTGGCCAATATGGCAAAATCCCATTGCTACTAAAAAAAAAAAAAAATAATAATAATAATAATATATAAATTAGCCAGGCGTGGTGGCACATGGCTGTAACCTCAGTTATTCAGGGTGGCTGAGGCATGAAAATCACTTGAAGCCAGGAGTTAGAGACTGCAGTCAGTCAAGATCATGCCATCGCACTGCAGCCTGGACAACAGGGCAAACTCTGCCTCAAAAAAAAAAAAAGAAGAAAAGAAGAAAAGAAAAGACAAGACTATCCTTTCTTAGCTGAATTGAACTGCCTTTTCATTTCTATCGAAAATCAGGAAGGGCAATTTAATGTATAATGACAGAAGATTGGTAGTTGATGGAGGACTTTTGGGAGTGACAGAAATGTTCATTCCTTTGATTGCAGTGATGGACTCAGTTACATACATGTCAAAACTTAACAAATGGCACACTTTAAATATGTCTACTTTGTTGTATGTCAATTTCAGCTCAATAAAGATGTTTTTTAAAAAAATTAGAGAGCCCATACAACACAGGGAAACCTCATCTCTGCAAAAAATTTATAAATTAGCAGGGTATGATGGCTTGTGCCTGTAGTCCCAGCTATTTAGGAGGCTAAGGTGGGAGGATCACTTGAGCCAGGGAGGTCGAGGCTGTGATGAGCTGTGATTGCACCACTGCACTCCATAGCTTGGGCAACACAGCAAGACCGTGACTCAAAAAACAAAATAAATAAACAAAAATAAAAGAATTAGAGGTTTCAAAAGGCTAATACACAAGAACTATTCATGAGCTTTGCTGCTAGGGACAAAGGCTAAGCTTAGGAGAGAAAACACCAAAAATGCCCTTGGCAAATGCACAGCTCCCACCTCATAGAACTAATCAATCACAAACACTTACCAGATTGCTATTTCCTTACGATGGGAAAATCTAAGCCTGCATTTCACTCTTCATACAAGCCACCTTTCTCGTCTTTAGGGATATGTCTTGCTATAGAGGCTGCAGTCAGTCAAGATCATTCTTGACTGAATGTTCTTTCTTAGAGCCTTACTACTGCCCAAGGCTTTAATTACTACTGGTACTTCCTGGCCTCTTTTTTACCCATGCTTTTTCTTTCTCTGACATTCTCTTCTCCAGAAATGTTTTTTCTACTCTTCATTCAGATTTTTTTCCTTTTTCAAAAAGAACCTGAGTTATGAGCATGTTCATTCAGGTTTAATGCCAACTCCTACTGTTCTCCATTCAAGTCTTCTGAGGCACTTTTACTTCTACTTGCCTGGGTCTCTCTTCCCTTTTGGGTTCTTCCCTTAGCTCCTGCTCAAGTGTCCTCCCCACTCCCACAACCACTAATATTTTATCCATTCCCTCTTCTTTTCCCTGTAATCCCAACACTTGGAGGCCGAGGTCGGTAGATCAGCTGAGGCCAGGAGTTCGAGACCAGTCTGGCCAATATGGCAAAACCCCATTGCTACTATATATATATGTATACATATACATATATATACACATACATATATATGTATATATACATGTATATGTATATATATACATGTATATGTATACATATATATACATGTATATGTATACATATATATATACATGTATATGTATACATATATATATACATGTATATGTATACATGTATGTATATATATACACACACACACACACACATATATATAAATTAGCCAGGCGTGGTGGCACATGGCTGTAACCTCAGCTATTCAGGGTGGCTGAGATATGAGAATCACTTGAAGCCAGGAGGCAGAGGCTGCAGGGTCGTCTGGATTTCTAGAATTATTCCAACCAGCCTCTTCCGCTGACTTTATCCAGTTCTTTACCCAAAATGTCTACTCCAAGCCTTAGAAGTAGTTTATCAAGGCAGGAGTTACACTGACAGAAAGAAGTGGAAAAGAGACAGAGATGAGAATCACTAATTTACTGCTTTTGTGGAGAGATTTCTACTCCTAGATATATTCAAATCGGCTATGCCTATGGTGTAATCCAATTCTCCTCCACCATGTTAGGCTTGGCCCCAGGGTGAGCAGCAATATTACCCTAGTTTTCCCAGCTACCATGACTTCCAAGGCAGAAATGCAAAGCTCAGAATGGAGTAATCTCTCACATTACTCAGCAGTTCAACCAAATCTCACTCAACCCTTATATTTCCAGGGTCTTTTTCCTTCAATTAGTCTCCAAAACTAGCTCTGTCCCCAACTTCATATTCCAATCCTGTCTCTGCTCCTAAATTCCACCCATTCATCCCATACTAGTTTTTTTCTCCAAGGGTATCTGTGGTGGAAGTGAGCCCCAAGTTCTGCTCAGTCTACGCTCATTGTGAAAATAAGCAGGTGAAGGCAAGAGCAGGTGGGTGGAATGTATTAGGGAGCCACCTAGATCCAGAGGATAACTTGATTCAGTGGCCATAGCATCACCTGGCTTTGGCTTCTGGAGCCTGGCACCAAGCCAGCAGAGGAAGAGAGAGCCCCAGGTTCCTAGGTACTTTGGTTTCCTCAAATTAGAAGATATAAAATTGGTCCCCACCTTCACCGTCTTCTAGTTCTAGACTCCCAAAGCAAAGGAGGGGGTTCTAGGAGAAGAGCAGGAACAGTCTGAGTAAAAACCAAGTACTGAAGCTGAGGATGCCATGTTGATTAAGAAAGGAATGGGGATTAGGATATCCAGATGAGGTTTGGAGTAGGAAGATTGCGCCCTGGACGGTGAATACTTCATTTGGGAGAGTACAACTTAAAGAATAAAATACATTAGGCCATTTTGTACGTCTTAAGCCATTTTGTACGTCTTAAGCATGATGACTGCGGTTTCAAGCTCACGGTGAGGTATGCCTCCCTCAACCCTTGTTACGGATGCCAGTCTGACATGAAAAAAAAAAGGACGGAAAAAAAGAGTAAATTCTGACAAACTTAATTTTCAGATAGCTACAAAATAACTTAGATCCCAGATCTAATATTTTATCCTTTAAGAAAACTGACGGGAGGGCGTGGTGGCTCACGCCTGTAATCCCAGCACCTTGGGAGGCCAAGGCGGGCGAATCTCTTGAAGTCAGGAGTCAGAAACCAGCCTGGCCAACATAGCGAAACCCCGTCTCTACTGAAAATACAAAAATTAGCCAGGCATGGTGTTGCACACCTGTAATCCCAGCTACTCGGGAGGCTGAGGCACAAGAATCACTTGAACCTGGGAGGCGGAGGCTGCAGTGAGACGACATCACGCCACTGTACTCCAGCCTGGATGACAGAGGGAGACCCTGTCTCAAATAAAAAAAAAAGGAAAAGAAAGAAAAGAAAACTGACAACAGGGCCCAATTCTGAGAGAGGAGAAAGGGACCTTCCCAAATGTACAATTCCAGAAGCAGTGTAAATACTCCCTGACCCATCCCAAGTTTGCTGAGTCATGAATATTAAATCAGCAGCAAGGTCAAAACGGATAAGTATCTGTAGGGTACTGAGAGTGGAAGATTAGCCTGAATTTAGGGATTTGTGGTTTTTAACTCAGGAACAGGGCAGAAAATGCTAACCTGCCCAGATCCACATTACCACATTACCTGGCTTTCAGCTCAACCCCAAACTCTACTCTCTGAATCACAGTATCCTGGTCCCCATCTATTCAAGTCTATCACTGCCACAGCACACAGGAGAAAGGGAAAAGATTCAGAGAGACTTTCTGCTGGACACTTATATGTGGGACAGAAAACGTGTCCCTTCCCAGCCATCTCATACAGTTCATTTGAACTGGATACCAATCTTTCTCAGCTGTGCAGGGCTCCTACGCTTCCTAGAACAAAGCAAACATCATATCTTGATCTTGGACTCAACTTAAGAATCACTTTTCTTGGAACTCAGAATTTGGGGGTGGTAAGGACCCAGATGAAGGAAAAGATACCAAGGTAAACAGGGAGGGCCACTTTAGG